>NW_018654708.1:165015-330031 GCF_000001405.40 Homo sapiens | reverse complement strand
TTTGCCATAATCGTGTTGTTGTTTAAATTGTGGAATATTTGTGGTTGGAGGCTAAGCTTAATTGTTAAAAAGTTAATTGTTTTTGAGTCAATAAGTGATCACTCTGGCTCCCCAAGAGAGACTAATTAACTTGGGAAATCCCAGTGAGAACCCCAACTCCAAGGGGAAGCACATTTATCTCTAGATGACTTTCCACATGCGACAGAGTAAGTACTTGAAGGGCAAGGATTCTGTGCGCTGATTATCACATTGGCATGCACAGATAGATGCATCACAAATGCTTTTCTTGATGGAGATAACAACAAACAATCTCACATGGCCCATACCCTCTTTAATCAGCTTCATTATTTTCTCTATTTTGTACTATGTGAATCCTTTTTCTTTCTAATTTTTACTTTCTTTTTTTTTCTTTTTCATATTAACCAGGTTTTGATTACTGAAGATTCCACTCACTGAACTCCTTGTGTATCAGAAAGTGAGAGATTTTCTGTCTTCCTGGAAAACCCTTTATTTATCAAGGACTCCGCCATCCTCTTAAGCTCCAAAGCTGCCTCTTCCTTCCCAGTCTCGGCACAGACACTGCTGACACGCCTCTGACCACGAGCATGTGGCCAGGTCTCCAGATCCATGCCTAGCCCAAGGATCTCAGGACATAATTTTCTCTACTTGGAGTTTGGTGAGAACTACGAATTTCTTAACGTCATATTGACTGCTTAAAATGAAAAATCCTAAACCTGTGGAGGTCAAGGGTGAAAAGAATTTTAATTATCTTAAAATAATGGAGAAAAGGAACAGTAGAGATTTCATGACTTTAGCTCCTGGTGAGGTTGAAAAAATTAAAGGCCAAAGAAATTAAACTTATCCTGTAAATGTATGGAGCTGGTCAGTGACAAGGACAGGATGAGGATCCTGGCTTCCTGGGGTCCTGGTGATACCGGTTGGTCCTCTCAGCTCTGTGCCATGCAGCCTGTCCTGGTGTCATTGCGCACATGCTGCCCCACAGCAGTCACTCTCATTTAAATCCCAAATGTGGGCATATTACAAATTGCATGCAAGACAAAAGCAAACTGATGTCTCAAAAATGTAGACAGGGCATGTCAGAAGAGCGGTATCAGTCAAAATCAGATGGTGTCATATAGCACCCTGTTGCACAACTACCCATGAAAATGCCTTGGTCAGGGAGAGGGGCAGTGTGGAGAACAAAACCACCTTCTGTAAACCAATTCTACTCCTTTGGGAGATGACTATGTAATGGATGGTGGAGAGTAGTTTCAGTTCTGTATGGAACACAACCACTGAGAATCATGCTGATAATCACAGTAATTTTAATACACATTTTTAAAAAGGGCTTCCTATATCCTGGGTGCTATGTTGTTCCAGTTGTCCAAATGAAAGCTGAATTCTGTCCATTCTACAATGTAGGTCTGCTATCTAAAGAAACATCCAACCTCTATCTCAGCCAGCTGCCTCTGCTCATTCAACAGGGTGCCAATTTTCCTTCACTGTAAGCATGCACTCTCCCCCTAGAGAGCAAGATTCAGCAGTTTAGACAACATGTTTTCTCACCCTTTCAATAGTCAGACACTGACTAAAAGAATAAAGGTGACCAATACACCTTTTACCACCAAAAGCCCTGACTTCTAAACCAGTTGTATTCTCCACCTGCATAATAATGTATATGATCCACCTCTCTTCACCCAAGATAGACATGAGCAATGGAGTGCACCAGCCCTAGCAGCCATTGCCTCCCTTTCCCACATTAATCCACTTGGCAGGCCAAAGCAAACATACTGCCCAGGGCTCATGTACCTGCGCAACTTCTTCCCCCACCCCCACACACATTGTCTCTGGGCTTGGTTTTAGGTCTTGCTTTGACCCATGAACATTAACAAGCGGGATGTAAACAGAGGCTTGGTAAACCCTTGCGCACTGGAGCTGCCTCTCGTGGTACACTCTGTCGCGAAGTCAGTCTCGTCTCTATGCTATAAAGAAACTCCAGCTAGACTGCTGAAGATGAGAGGGCACAGGCACGGAGCTCTGAAGGTGGGAGCCTTTAGATGGTCCACGCCAGCTGAGCTGCACGTTATCTCTCAACCACACAGGTACACCTGAGCAAAAGAAGTGCTTGGCTGAGCCCCGTCCACCCACAGGATCATGAGAAAGAATAAGTAGCTGTTGCTCTAAGTCACTAAGTATTGGGGTGGCTTGTTACACAGTGATAGATAACTAAACTGGTGTATCTCTACTGGAGGTTTTAAAGAGTCCCTCTATATCCTTTCTATACAAGTGCAGAAACAGAGAAGGGAAATTAAGGTTTAAAATATCCTCCAGGAGTAATAGTTCTACGTATCTCAGGCAAAGTCCCTTAGCAAATTAGTCTTTTTGTTTCTCTCTCTAATAATTAAGGATAATAGCAACCAATCCTATGTATGTCCACACGTATAGTGTGAGGTTAGAAGACATGATATATTTATTTATTCATTTACATCACAACTTGGTCAAGAGGAGATTTAGACAGGCTAGGGCAATTGGTGAAATATTTTTCATGCCCAATAAATGAATGTGGTTCATTTCAGGTATTATTATATTTATTGAAACATTTCTTCACTTATAAACCCTCACTGTTTCCTGGTCTCCTCTATCACATTCACATTTTTATAAGAAAAAATGTTCCTTGCTTTACCTAAATAATTATTAGCTTGATTAATAATTGATCCCCTTCTACTGTTTCCATTTTGAAATAGAAACACTTGGCTTTCAGCAGTACCTGATCAGTTTTGGGGGTGATGGTGAAGTGATTTAGAAAAGGAGCCAGTGTAAAGAAAGGGGCAGAGTAGGAAAACAGGGCCAATTTACCATGTGGCTGGTGACATGGAGGACTGTCTAACTTTGGGTAGGCTCTCAGCCACACAAGGGCCAACCATAAAAATCATTTAAGGTTGTCACAAGGCAATAATTAATCATATAATGACTCCGCCTCATTCTCATCCCTTAGGCTGAAATAAGATAACAAAGGAGGTAAATTGTGTAGATAAATTAAATGCATTGCAAATCCATTCATCAGTTACTGTGTCTGGTTTTAGATCATTAATGCACAATAATAGCCTATGTGCAGCCCTCCTAGCTTCATGGTCTGTTCTGAGATTTTATCTCAGAGTAAGCAAAGGAACCCAGGAAGAGCCAGGACAGAGAAGGGACACAGGGGGAAGACAGTCGGAGTAGGGAGAAGTTAGGGAATTCTAGATGACTTTTCTGTATGTTTTTTAACCAATAAAACCTTTGATAAATACATGAGTTAAGCCAATCTAACTATTTCAATTGATATTGCTGTGGTTGGTGACACTTTAGATATATCAGTTCTAAGTTCCTATTGAGTATCTCTTAGTGGAGATACTTGAGCAGATTCAAAATAGAATTCTGACTCAGCCAGCTGGGTCTGGTATAGTCTAAGTCCATGACAAACTGGAGCGCAAAGAGTGGTCAATCTTTCTGATTTTCATGGCAAAATCAGTTCTTATATTTACTCCTGAAGCACATGAATTGTTTTCGCAACAGCCACTTAAAATACTGGTACTTGTCTTAAAGTGAAACCCTGAACCAGCTATTATCCAGCAACTGTCAAATAGTGATCAATGCAAGTGATATTTCCAAAAGCTTGTGTACTAAGGGATATACTAGAATGTCTAAGTTCTGTTTGTGCTTTAAGTTTGGACTATAAGAATACACCCAAAACAGCATGCTTGGACTGTAAGAATACATGCCCTCATGGGAATGTTTTCCAAAGTGACAATCAGCATATGCCACATTGATGTTATACCTCTTGTTGTTGGATTGAGAGGAAATGCTAGAAGTTGCTATATGGGGGATGTTTCTCCACCTTGTGCAAAGCCAGTTAAAAATGTAAAATATTCACATCAACATTTTTGGTACCCAAATTCAAGGGAAGAAAGCCAATTCCCCTCTAGAGCCTCCAGAAAGCAACACAGCCCTGCCAACCCCTTGGTTTTAGCCCAATGAGACCCATGTCAGATTTCTCACCTCCAGACCATAATGTAATAAATCTGTGTTGCTTTAAGCCACTTACAGCAGCTGAAGGAAGCTAATACAATGAGTTAAGTTTGAAGTACCTGTGGGACATTTAGGAGGAAAGCAACAAAGGGCAATGGGATCTTCTGCTCCAGAATGTGTTTCCTTTTTAAAGTTAAATATTGGGTTCCCAACCACATGCATCTTTCATGTGCAAGCTATGCCTCTTCAAGACTTGGTTTTACTATTAGTATTGCACATTGTACCAGATAACAGGGGAAACTGTGGTTGGGTGACTCGGGTTGTTAAATGATGACTGTAAAACTGTAAGAATGTGCCAGTCCGCAGCAAAAGCTTCTTGCACGACAAGAGTCAAGGGACAGCCCAGCATAAGGCTGGGGAACACAGCAGATCCATGACTTCCACATGATGCCTGGGTTGCAACCTTGCCTACTGACTCCCTAAACTACCTTTGTACACCAAATTCAGACTTCCCTGCTTCACCATCTGCAGGATTCACTTGTCATTTTTCAGAGAGGTGGCCCACCCCCTACAGTTCCACCAGGTCAGCAGCAGCAGCCGCGGCAGCTTTGTTCCACAGAGCCAGCCTGTGCAACAAGGAGTGTGATCTATATAATGTTGCTCTGATTTTATAAAAATGAGTGGAAATGAAAAAAAATGAATGTGGTGTTATCCATTAAAAGTGTAAGCCTCATAAAATTTAATAGAAATGAAGATGGAAACCCTTAGGAGTCAATTGTCATCTCAGTGGGATGCCCACAGGGACCTGAGCTGATGGACTGAGGGTCCTGCTGTGAAGGAAATTAAAGGAATCATTGAAAGGGGTCTACTAGGAAGACCATGCAGAGTGAGCATTTACTGAGTGCTTACTGTGTACTAGCACTTTACATCCATAACCTCATTTGATCAGAGGATGAAAGCATCAGCTGATTGGGTAGGTGCCATGCTTATCCACCTGGGAGGTTAGAAAGTTGTTTGGACTCAGAAGGCTTAAAAGGTTAAGTAGCTTAAGGAATCAGAACCAGTAAGTGGCAGAGCCAGAATTCAAGCCCAAGCAGCCTGACTCCTCCCCATGTCCCTGGTTGCCACCATCACCTCCCATTATCACCATCCTGACATCATCTCCCTATCTCTCTCTGCACTCCTTTTATCTTGTTCAGACTGGCCTCTGGGACATACCAGATGCCCTTCTGCCTTGGGGCCTTTGAACCTTCTTTCTTTTTAGAACACTTTTCTCCCAGATGCTTCTCATTCCTTCCCTCCCTTTGAATCCATAAATGTCTCAGTGAATCACATGGTCACCTCTCCTACAGTGGCTGGATGCGCTTTCCATGTGTCCCAGGAAGGCCCAGCCAGGACACGGGAGACAGACTGGGACTGGGTGTGGAGAAACCTTTGAGTCCCTCTGGGCTGGGGTCAGCTGCCCTGTGGAGGCCGGGAAACCAGTGCCTGGGGTGCTTTTGGCACTCCCCAGTCATGTGTGGAATTAGGTGGTACAGTAGTTTCACTTGCATGCCATGCAGTCTTCCCATTCATTGTGGCTGAACATCTGGTGGGTACTCATAAAAATTATATCATGGCCTATGCAGTGCCATGTGGAGCAAAGTGGATGGCTCCATCCTTCACAGGATGACCTTGAGGCTGGAGGGTGAAAGCAAGAAGACTTCCAGCCCCTCAGAATAGTCGTCTCCCCAGGGTCCCATTTCCCGGAGCCCTCAGTAAAAGGGCTGCATCCTCACGGCATGATGGGAAAACCGACTGACTTCAAGAACCTGAAGAAATCACACAGAACACAACAGCACCTCTCCGCACCCTCAGGACCTGGGAACCCTGGTCCTCAGCTCTACAGCTGGTAAGGGCTCATGGTGCCTTTGACTCTAACCTCTTTCATGGTGATTTACAGATCTTGGATGTCTCCTCTGCATGTTCAGGATTCAGATAGCCTGATGAGAAAGGCAGTACTGTTTCCAGATGAGGAAACCAAGGCTCAGATCGCTGGCTGTCTCAGCTTCATCTCACACTAGTGCTTCTCTGAGCCCAGACTTTTGGCTCCAAGAACAGTGCTCCCTCCAACACACTGGGACATCAGCACACAGTCTGTGAGGAACATGTAGTCGGCGGGTGCTTATTGTCAGACTGTGGCTCCAGAATTCAGAAAACCCCATGCTGAATGAATAAGCACTTCAAATTGGTTGGAGATGCATTCCCAAAACACCTCTCAGGGTAAGCCACGATGCTTCCCAACTAGTGCTGCTTCAAGATGTGGCTAAACACCTCCAACAAAATTCTCAGATAGAAAAGGCAAGAGCCATTATATTCATAAGTCAGAATTTATTTCATACCATCTCACTTATAGCATTTTCAAGTACAACATTCTGCTCAACATCATTTACACTTGAAAACAGAAAAGCACAACTTGGTAAGGCACCAGGTTACGATAGTCTGGAGAGAAGGCCTTGCTCCCATTTTGGCTTGTGTAATACCTGGGTAGTTTCTCTTGAGTCTGTCAAGCAGAGAACAAGGTTATAAAAGGTCCATTTATACATACATGGTAACAAGAGATAACAAACAGTTTTGAAGTATGCTGTATTTATAAATTATAATGGTGGCCTACACTTGTAGTTCAGCCAAAGTGGCATTCTCTAAAGCAAAATTCTTATAAAATCTTCTCTGCAATACCAAGCTGCAAGTTTAACAATTTTTTAGCTTTGAAGTGAACCAACTTTATATTTAACTCAAACACATACTTTAAAAACATTTTCGGCCCCAAACTCTATGTTCACGAAGAAATAAAAATGGAGGAAAATCTCAAGTATAATCGTACCTTTACTATTCTATAAAATGCAGCAATATATTTTAAAAACTGTTGCATTTAAAGGTCAACCCACTAGATTTTTAACACTAACAGTCCAAGGTGTTATCAACCCCACTTAAAATTCAACTGTATAAAGCTTTCAGAACTGGGCCACACAGGTGTACTTCACTGAGCACTTTCCACCCATGGCCTAAAGGCAGGAGGTGTGGAAGTCCCCTCCAGGGAGACCAACTGCAGCCCCATACACTGTCACACGCATAAAACTTCTTTCAAGTTTTGTGTTCTATCTTAAAAATGAATTTGCACTATACTCCATGCCATTTACTTTAATATAAAAATAGTGTTTCAAATCGCTTACCAGTTAAATAACTCATCTTCCCTCCCACACCTCCAGGCACCAGACAGGCAGAGCCCAGCCTGGGAAGCCTAGCTTTCCACAGATAGGTAAGCCAGGCGCGGCAAGATGAGACTGTATTCAGTTAGGTCTATTTTAAGCATTTCCACAAATCATTTTATTCCTTCAGGTTGTAACTAAATGCTTCAGGAAACTATGACCGACATCAATTCCAATGTGTTGAATAATCAATCAGTCTATGTATTTTAGTGGTTTAAAGATTAATCTTTTGTTAAACAAAGAAATTTGTTAATTTTATTTACTAACAGGAATAAATAGAACCCCTAACCTAAAGTATAACCTGATCTTTTACTTTTTCTATAGAAAAACACAAACTGGATTTCTTTTTAACATAAAAAAGACAACACAAAACCCACAGAAAAATAAAATTCTTCTATCTAACTGGCTTTACAGATTTCCCTCATTAGTTGTGGATGTGACTTTGGTGGCTCTGGGTCACCCACCGCAAGCCCGACCCTGCAACTGAGTGTTCAGGCTGCCTTGTGGTGTCTCGGAAGCATTCCTACCAGAGTAAAAGCTATTCTCCTGAGATGGCACCTTTTTCTCCAGAAGATTCAGCCCTAACAGCTGCCACCTTGAAGGATGTATTTCACTGTCACAGGAAGCAGCCAAGTATGGGGGCCATGGTCCCGGCATGCACCTGGCTGGCTACACGCCCCGCCCCTCAGGAGTCCTCAGAGTCCACTGGCCTCTGCTGCTACTGCCCTGAAAGCCATCTGTGGCTTTAACTGGTTGTTTTAACAGGTTTCAAGAGATGTTCATTTTATTTTTTGTTTAGATTTAAGATGTCCTAAAAAATGTATATATTAAGATACACTTAAAAACATACTCTGAATATAATAAAAAAGATGTTGGTTCAAAAAAGGGTCAACAAGAAGAGGAAGCCAAGCTTCCTAGCATCTGTTTTTGTGGCCACGCTTTTCCCCATTAATGGTGTGAAAGTCTGAATCAACAGCAAATACAGCCATACAGACCTATGTATCTGTGTGCATGAGTGTGCATGGGTGTGCACACAGAGAAGTACATCTTGGCCGACTTAAGAAAAAATTATCTGTGTTGTGTCCCACAAACACTTGCTGTTGGCCTTTCAAGAGTATTCACCTCCCTGCCGAAGAGACAGCTTGAGTATGGAGGTTTAAAAACAATCCAGACAGGTGCTCCCTGTTGCCCTCGTTACCTAGGATTGAGGCAGTTTGGTGCACGTATTACAGTACCGAAAGCAAATGTCACTTTCTGATCTCCACAGGAACCACTCCCTAAAACATGAAACTACTGACCAACACTTGCTTTCCTCCGCATAGCACTTTGTCTGTGTTCATATGTGTCAACACAACTGGACTAAGAAAGAAAAGTCCCAATAAGGAAGTTTCCTTTTTTGACTACAGAGTGCCATACAGTCAGTGGGATGTTTTCTGTTGGTTGTTTTTAAATCATAAGTAACTGGGTATTAGCAATTGACAAAAGTGACTGGTTTGAGGTTTTGTAGGCAGAGGTCTCTCACTTTTTTTCTCAGATTTTTGCTCCTTAAAAAAAAGGCATGGTTTGCATGGAGTTTCAAAGCTAAGAACTATTGTTACCATGGTTGACCTGTGTACATAATGCACTGTGCATTAAGTAGCCCTTAATCAAGAGAGGGTTAACCATAGTGTTCCTCCCTTTTGCTCTTCTGTACATTATAATGTAGCAGAACTTCATTCTTAACATCCAGATTAGAGGTGTCTTCTTCATATTAGATATAAATTAACCAGAGGTCTAGAACTCTAAATTTCCAGAGATGTGAAAAATGTTTAATTTACTTCAAAAATATCTTGCATAAGTATCTCATCCCTAAGCTCAAACAAACAAGAAAATTAAAGGCAGAAAGAATACATAAAATTGAGAGCTCCTCCTATAATACATATACACACACTCTCGATATAGGTTCTACGCAGTAAAAGGAGTTGTTTCAGCTAATATAGCTTCTAATATCGATTTCATCTGAAAATAGCCTTTCTGGGTGTCTTGCCAGCATCATACGAAACAGCAGTACTTCTTCCACCAGGACTTGGAGAGGTTTTTCATTTTATCTGGAGTCCTGCTTTTAGACTTCTTTGGCTGTTGCTGAGTGTCCGAGTATTGAATGCCAGCGACGATGGCTGCATCAAAGACCTCTTTGAGGTTTTTTTGAGTCAAGGCTGAACACTCGATGTAGGAGGCGGCTTTGATTTCCTCGGCGCACAGCTTAGCCGCCTCTTCAGGCACTGGCTTTTCTTTGCATTTGTCCAACTCAATGAGGACTTTGACATCTTCTCTGAGATCCGACTGCGTTCCAACTAGGATGATGGGGGCTTTGGGACAGTGGCATCGAATCTCCGGCACCCATTTCTCACTGACGTTCTGGAAGGATGAGGGGCTCACGACACTGAAGCAGAGCAGGAAGATGTCTGTGTTGGTGTAGCAGAGAGGCCTCAGCTTGTCAAATTCATCCTGCAACCAAGCAAAGTACCCAAAAGTTATGTTTTCATGAATTCTCATCAGTAAAAAGATCACCTTCACATTTTTCATGAAAGGGTCTGGCAGGTGATAGAAGACCCGCTGGTTCTAGAAGGAAGAGCCAGCATCCTTGAAACGATCCTACTGTTTACCCAAGCGGGGCCAGTGCACCAGCGAAGGTGTGGCAGCCATCTGCTTTCAGGGCCAGCTATGGTCTGAACACTGCCAAACATGTTCAACGTGTTCATCGACACTCAAGACCTACTTACAGCTTAACATAGAAAAAGTGCTCAAAGTAGGTGGGTTCTAGAAATAAAATGGACTTAAGCCTTCAGCTGAGTGTAACCCAAACCTACTCTCAACTCTTGGTACTTAGCTACTCTTCTAAAATTCAGACCACACCCATATTGATCCTCAAGACTCCCACTCAAACCCAGTCTACGAACACAGCTCCTCTCTTTATCAATCCAGCCCTGCCTTTCCCAACAGCTCTGAGTGATGCCAATTTCATCCCATCTGCACTGTGCACACGCTCTGCCCACACTATGCACAGCAACGCAGAGTAATGCTAATCAGACTCAAGGCCAGACCAGAAATGGAGTTGAGGACCTTTGTCAGTCCATTGTCATCGTGACTCAGAAAACTTTTGCAGCTCAGTGCCACTTACAGACACTAGTTAATACATCCTCATTCTGGCTGTATCTTCTCTTCCTCCCTCCTTCCTTCATTTTCTCCTACTTCCTTTATCCTTGCCAGTACCCATGGCCTCCATGTACAGTGCTTTGGACAGATAAGAACTGGAGAATAGGCACGCCCACCCTACCCTTAAAGTATAGAGAAGTGGATAGAATAAGTTAGAGTTGATTACAAATAAACCAACGGTTGTGCTGCCAATGCTCTCCCGTGGTCATCCATTTAACAGACACACTGAACATCACCTACACTCAAGGCACAGTGGCAGGCGAGGGGATTTGGCTGTGAACAGACAGATGTTGTTCTCCAAATTACCATTTCTTTACAGAAAACATCCTATAGTTCCCTGTAGCACCATATTCAGCTAACTGACAACTTTTGCTCAACTCTTTTGTAGAAAAATATTTACTCTTTCCTATGTAAAATGTATATCTGTTGGTGCCAACCATCCTCAGGTATAAATAATTTCCCAATGACAAGAAAAAGTTCAACGCCATTCATGTTTTTCATTACTCAATTGACACACTCCGATTATTTACCAAGTACCATTTACATCACATTATACTCCATCCGTGGCTTTTTTCTCTTGGTATAAAAGAAACCTGTAACTTATTTGAATGTACTTTCTTCATTTGAGGCCCCATGTTTCAATTACGGGACGACAGCCAACCAACTAATCACATTAAAGTCAACCAGCTAAAATGCTCAGCAATCAATGTGGTATTTCAGAATGTCACTTGTGAGGCTTCTGTAAGCGAAAGTTGAAAAAGTATGACTTAGCCAAATGTGGTGGCACGTGCCTATAGTCACAGTTACTTGGGAAGCTGAGGCAGGGGGATCACTTGAGCCCTGGAGTTTGAGACCAGCCTGGGTGACATACCAAGACCCTGCTCTCTAAAAAAAATTTTTAAAAAGAAAAATAATGACTTAAGTTTCTTCATGCCAACTTTGTGATGAATAAATAAACACAGAAACACAGCCAGGTAGACTATGGCTCAGTCATGAAGATCTTTTAATGGAATGCTCCCTCTGTTCTTAGAGGGCCTCAAAGAAAGAAGCATAAAACTGAGACCAGTATTAAGGCAGCCCCCTCAGGTAGCTGCACCCCTGGCCATGCCCTGGTATCTGGGGTTGCATTACTGAGAAAAATAAAGGCAAGCACAAGGGCTGGGACTTCTGAGGGGGCTTTGGAAAGCTATCTCCCCAGATCTCTTGAGATTCTGGCTAAGGGGCTTGAGAAATAAAACAGAAATTAGACCCTCCTGCTCAGTGCCTGACCTGAAATCTTAGAAATAATGCAATACACACGTGCAATGAGGACAACTGGAATGCACCCTTAAGAAAAGGCGTTCTGAGGCCAAGCAATTTGCATGTGCTTGCCAGGTCTGTGGTACGGACACTGCACAGAAGTCTGATCAGGGTTGGCGGGGCAGAGAGACGAGACTGGATTCTACATCCCTCTGGTCTAGCTGCAACTTGATTTTTTTTTTTCAGTATAAGATTTTTCCAAGTACTTTATGGGTCAAAAGGCTGAAGAATTTTCAGCTTCTATTGGCAACTCTCCAGTGAACTACTCCTATTTCCGCAATACTTTTTTCTCTTATGCCAAAGGTATGTTTTTTCAAGCCTCCAGTCTGTCTCTGATCAATCTGCCCTTGAGTGATGTAAGACCAGTGTTAAAAACTCCTTTTGACATCTTATAGACTCGCCTACCCTCCCTAACAAGAAAAGCCAAAGTACAAGAAGTGATTTCTTCAGCATGTAGAGCCATCCATACTCTGCTCCCATCAACTTCTGTGGGAAACCCACACTCCAGCTCCACATCCCCAAGTTCTAGCCTATCTGTGCTCACGTTGATTCTCCAGGCATCTGAAGTGGAGGTCAGTGGAGTCACTTAACCCTCAAGGCTCTTATGTCAACTGCCTAGAAGAGGTATGTGTTCCTTCCTCCATAAGGAAACTTGGCAGGTATCACAGCAAGTCCCTTAAAATGTATTTTATCAGATCAGGACTAGGGAGAGTAGAAAAGAACTGCCACTTTGACCAGCTTGGCTAGTAGTCTAAACAAAGACTAATTTATAAATGGGGGATCAGGAAAACAAAAACAGAACAACTGACTTATCTTACCAGCAGCTTATTTTTCATAGTTTTTGAAGATGGTTCTTCTTCAAAAGTTTTGAAGTTGGTTCTAAAAGTCTACAAATTTTTAGATAGTGGTCTTATTCATTATTTAATTGGGTATACTCTTCTAACCAGTACACAAAGGTTAAGAAATACAGTAAATCTCATTGAAAATATTGCTAAGAGGCCAGAAGAATAATTTTCAAATAAACTGAAACTTACAAATGTAGCACCAAAACCTTCGTTTTTCCCTAATTATAAACTTTTTTGTGCAAAAATACTACTAAAGTGATGCTTGTGCTTCCCTGATTTTTAAACAGGAACAATTTAACTCTTCCTTGATGATTCAGTCATTTATGCAAAGTTCTTCTGGTAAAATTCCTATTTGTCTTTCAAAACTCTGCTCAGAGGTTTTCCTGCCAGGCCCAACCAGCCTGCACCTCTAAGCCCGAACCTCTTTTCTTCCCTTTGCTTGCTCCTTCACGAGCTTCCATTTGTCTTCCCTCCACACTGTAAGTCTATTAAGGGGCAGGCCCACAACTTATGTTTATACCCCCACCACCTGGTCCTTCTCTGGTTCATCCATTCTAAAACCACGAGATTAAGCCCTGCTATGTGCCAGGCACTATGCTGGGCACTGGGCATGAAACCCCAGCTCAAGAAGCTGCATCCTGCTTGAAGAGCCAACACTTACGGGGAGCCCAGTGGACAGTGATATTTGAGTGACATCCTGGGGCAGGTAGGTGCACTGAGCTTCTGCTCCAGCCCGTAAGGCTCCCTGCTAACTGTGCCTTTGGACTTCCTGTATTTTCCTGACTTCCATCTTATCCTCAGGGTCTGACTTCAGCAGGTCCGATGGCTATGTTTACTGACATGTTCCTCTGCCTGTGTTTTATTTTTTTTGAGATGGAATCTCTCTCTGTCAACCAGGCTGCAGGGCAGTGACGCGATCTCAGCCCACTGCAACCTCCGCCTCCCAGGTTCAAGCAACTGTCTGCCTCAGGCTCCTGAGTAGCTGCTATTACAGGCGCCCGGCACCACACCCAGCTAATTTTTGTATTTTTAGTAGAGACGGGGTTTCACCATCTTGGCCAGGCTGGTCTTGAACTCCTGACCTCATGATCCACCCGTCTCAGCCTCCCAAAGTGCTGGGATTACAGGCGTGAGCAACCGCGCCTGGCTGGCCATGTTTTAAAACTCAGAAAACCTGACCCCCTGGTAGACAAAGCATCCTCACTTCATACAAGGAAATGAAGCTTGAATTATAAATATCACCATTGCATTCAGAAAGATTCAGTGCTAGAAGTGACTGTATTCTTTGATTTTTCTTTTTTTTTACCCCCAAGAGATGGGATCTTGCTCTGTCGCCCAGGCTGGAGTGCAGTGGCACCATCATAGCTCACTACAGCCTCAAACTCCTGGGTTCAAGCGATCCTCTCACCTCAGCCTCCTGAGTGGCTGGTGGCTGGGACTACAGACAGTGCCACCACACCAGGCTAATTTTTTTATTTTGTAGAGATGATGTCTTGCTATGCTACCCAGGCTGGTCTCAAATTCCTGGCCTCATGCAATCCTCCCACCTCAGCCTCCCAAAGAGCATGAGCCACCACACCCAGCCTGATTTTTGTTTTCTACAGACAATACAATACGGACAGTGCTTGGTTTTTCCAAGCTGAAGTGCTCCCAAGCTATGGCCTGCACCAGCCCGGTGTTCCTTGGAGATCAAGGCTCCACGGTCTTATGTCATCTTCAGGTTTAAAAAATAAGATCTGTCCTTAGCTCTGAATCTGCTGTCCCAGAGTAGGTGAGCAACTTGGAAGCTCTGGCGTAGATGAGGCTCTGGGGGGCAGTGGAAAGCCAGTGCCTTCATAAACACAGATAGTCATGTGATGGCACCTCAGAAAGTGAAGGGGGCACTTTCACCTGCCTACAAAGTACCCCCGGAACTTTGCTGAACTCTAGAACATACTAGAGAGACAAGTTCATTAACTATCACTTTGCCAAAATCAAGTACCCCTGGGTGTTCACAAGGCACAGCCTGACTTCAATGACTCGAGTACCCACCAATGGGGGCTTCTTCTGGGGAACACAAAGAGGGAACCCTACACTCCCTGGCTATTTCCTCCAAGGGCCCAGCCCTCGAGACAAGAACCAGCGTTCACAGTTTGGATAGAATAAGCCCAGTTAGTTCATCCCTCCAGCTTAGGACTGCTCTGACAAATGTATCTGTGCTTCAAGTGATGGGGCTGGTCCTAGCGAGTCAAACCATAGCTCAGGAAGGGAAATATTAACCCTTACTGATGTAAATTCCATCTTTTTCTTGAGCAAATTTCTTCAATATCTGACTCACTGGCCTTTAATAAAACGATTATAAGACATCACTAACTTAGTTTGGGAAATGATGACAAAGCATCACTGAAATTTTTTCATAAAAACCAGGGAGTAAGTAATAGAAACTCCTACAAGAGCTGTTCTTGACACTGCTTCCTCCCTTGCCTGGTTACGCAGAGCTGGGCCAAACCCTGCTTTATTAGTTTGGAGGTATCTTCCTCTGCTTCCTGCCGGCCAATAACCTGGCCCCTGCCCACCCTCAGAGAAGGGCCAACAGCAGGGGTGGGTCCACTTCATGAGGCTTTAGAATGACCCAGTTACTGACTGAGGGAATCAAAGGTTATTTGGAAATCTTTAAAAGGCTGTTTCCTTTCCCAGCACTGAGCTGTAACGTGATACTGACCTGTCCGGCAGTGTCACAGAGTTGGAGTCTCACGGGCCGCCCATCCACAGACACCACCGCTTAAAAACAAAACCAAAATGACAATCAGGAGGTGTCTTTTAACCCCTTTCGGAATACTAATAGTTTTAGCTTTCACTATCATTCTCACTCCAAACCCCTTTGCTCCTATTTTAGGTCCTCTAATGAATTAAAGACTAGCCAAAAACAAGGAGGCCCTGTGGAGGCATTTTTGTATACAAACCCACGGCTGGCAAGTCACTCCATTACCGTGAACCAGGCAGCAAATCCCTGAACGCTTTGATGGTGACCCTAAAAAGGCCTATGCTTTTCTCCCAGTCCTGGAAGATTTATTTTCCTGTCACACTTGTTTCAAAGGACCTAAAAACAACACTGGGGGTAAATGGGAAGCAACCCTGCAGTTTTAAATCAGTGGAAAACCTCACAAATAATTCTGTTTTCCCTTGGGAAAGGTTCCCCAACTTCAGGGTTTATCATACAATTCTAGTGTGTTTTGAGAACATGTGCAAACACAGGCTGCCCGCATTGTCCTGTTTAAGAAATGAGGGCACTCCTTATCTCTATGTCAGGTCAAAAGGAGGATTAAAAAAGAAAAAAGAAAGCCATGGCCCCCTTTCCACTGGGATCCGGGGACTCGGGGAGTGTGGAGAGGCCTGCAGCAGGACATGTTGTGGAGGTTTCTATTTTAATTAAGCAGTCAGTTTTGTCTCTTTCTACACAACTTTCTAATTGTTTCTAAATATTTATACTAGTCAGCTGCAGGGGTGGGGTGGGGGGAGGGGAAGAAACAATACCCTGCGGTGGGAACCCACCAGTACAGCACCCATTTCTCTAAGGTACCTTTGGGATGAAAGGAAGGTCAGAGAAGCAATTTTTTTTTAAAGAAGCAAGACAGTTAAGTGTTTCATACTAGTTTCTGTGAATTTTAACTTTTTCTTAAATTTCAAAAAGACCTGAATAGCAAGATAGAGAATTCCTTTCTCTTTGTATCTACCAAGGGAAATGGCATCGCACCCGGTACATAGGAGCTTTAAGTAGCTTAAAGGGATCCTGAAAAGATACCAACAATCAGAATCCGAGCCCATGTGGGCAGGGAAGGTGGTGGGGCTCAGAAGAAAGAAATGGTGTTTACTCTTCAGGTTTCATCCAAACCTAAGCCTTCACGAGGGCCGCTCGCGCTTTTTCACTAAATCAAGTGTTTTCCCGGCGTCTCCGCGGCTCTTTAAAGCGGAGACGCCCCTTGTGAGCTGAGCCGCCTAAAAGCAAAGGAGCGACGCTCAGGTAAAGGCACCTGCGCGTCACCTTCTGATTGAAACTCTGCAGCGGCGCCAGCGACGTCGCCCTCAGGAAACTTTGCTCTATGCAACAAACTGACCGGGCACCCTGAACTCAACCTGTTTCACTCCTACTTATCTGTTGCTTAAATTGTGAGATTTTTTTTTTTTTTTTTTTTGGCAAGGCTCTGACTGCCGCTCCGCCCTCCTCTCTCCAAGCCCACTCCGCCGTGGTCCTTTCGTGTTAGCTCCGCGCTTGCCCGGTCCCTGAGACTCAGGAAACGTCCTGCACTCCTCATTTGTCCGGCTTCCCAGCTGGAGCCGCGCCCGGGGCCCTGCAGCCCCCTTGGGAACCTCGCGACCCTCGCGCCACCTTCCTTCCCCTGGGTGGACCGCGGCCACGCGCCCCCGGCCCCGGCCCCCCGGCCAGCTCACCGGAGAAGTTGTCGAAGGCAGTAGGGATGTACTCGGTGGGGTAGCCGTTGGTGGTGTAGCTCACCACCAGGCTCGTCTTGCCCACCGCGCCGTCGCCGACCAGCACGCACTTGACGCCGCGCCCCTCGGCACCCCCCGCACGCCCCCGGCCCCCCGGCTCCCCAGGCCCGCGTCCCCCGCGTCCACCGCGCTCCCGACGCGGCGGCACCGGAGGCGCCTCGCAGCGGTCGGGGAACGCGGGGTCCCCCTGCTGCGGGGGCATCGATCCGCGAGCGCGGGCTTGCGGTCGCGGGCTAGCAGGGCCCGGCCCGACCGCCCCTCCGCCCCGGAGGGTTGCGGTAGGGAGGAGCTGTCACCGACAGCTGCGGGCGCGTCCCCGGCCCTGGAGAGTGGCGGTTCCGGGCCGCACGGCCAGTAGACAAAGGCGGCCAGGGAGGGTCGTGGCTCCGCGCTCCGGCGGCGCCAGCCGCTCTGCCCTGCGCTGTTGGAGGACAGCGGTCCGAGCGCCGTGGATCCCAAGCGCTCTGTCTCCGCCCGGCTTCCCGGCGACACGACGCGTGGGGGGCGGGCAGGCGGGCGGGCTGGCGGGGAGGGAAAAGAGGCGGGTCTGGCCGAGCGGCTCGGTCCCCGCGCCAAGACCACAGCGCCCCCCGCCTGCGCGCCGCGCGCCTGCACCCGCGCCCGAGGCGCCGCCGCGACCAGGCGGGGACTGCGAACACTGGCGCGGGAGGACCTGGAACACACGTTCCGGGGGACCCCGCGCACCCGGTCCGGGAAGCGACGCCCGAAGGAGCCGGGCCAGCCTCCGCAGCCTCCTCCCCAGCTCCCAAGAGGGTGACCACCGCGCGACTGGCCCGGGAGGTTCCGCTTTCTGGCGCCCACGCGAGCCAGGAAGCCTGAGCCGCCTCCTATTCACTCCGTGGAGCCCCCGGCTGGCCACGGCTCCACCCAGGGGGAAAAATGAAGTGTCCTGGAGGCCTGTCCTGCGAATGAGATTGAATTAACAGACAGCTTTTTTCCTTAAGTCTAACTGCAGCTGATCGTGTGATTTTTTCTCATTTTGAAGCAAAAGGATGCCAGCTCCATTGTGAATGCTCCTTTGACTTTGTCTTTCGGCATGCCGTGAACCTTTATACATGTATGCTCCAGAAATTTTTTTATACCCCCAATTCCTTCATTTACTTAAAGGTAATTCGGAGACATTAATATGTCTGAAAAAATATTCCGTTTCCCTTTGATTCATTTCTCTCTCTGCCTTCCTTCTACATGTGGTCAACAGTCTATTCAGAAAAAGGACGCCTCTTAGCCAAGTCAGAATACCAAGAGTCCTGGGGGTGTACAGCGTGGTGTGAGAAGGGCCACATATTATTAATACACATTGATACTAGTGGTAGTAAAAATAACAATAACAAATACTGAACTTTCATAATGTGTCAGATACTGTTGTAAGCACTCTTCAAGAACTAATTCTTTTAATCTTAACATTACTTACAGATGAGAACACCTGAGGCACAGAGATATTAAGTAACGTTTTGGGATTCCACAAGCTAGTAAGTGGCAATGCCAGGATCCAAACCCAAATAGTCTAGCCCCAGAGCCTGAGCTTCTAACCAAAATCCTGGAGGCAAAAATAAGTCAGTATGATAAACGTAATCTTGAACGTATGGCCATGGTCAGAATGCAGAGATGGATTTATCAAGAAGTTAGAAGCTTGAATCCAGGACCCCTGACTTGCAAAGGACACTTTCACATTGGAAGACCTAGCAATGTGTACACGTGGTAATATGTTTCTGTAAATTTTGAAAAAAAAAAAAGTATTTTAATCACCACCAGTTATGTTCACTGTCTTTTTAAACTGTAACTTACCCTCATATTGAGTGACTTTGAAGAGGCCATGAAGATTTTGGGGATCAGCCAAAGAAAGTGAAGTTGGGGAGACCCAAACAGGTTGTTTGGGTGTAATGGGATACAGAATCAGGATGAAGGTGAGATAAGGGGGATGTCAAGGATGCAAAATTTATGACAAATTGAGCATTCAGAGGCAATATCAAAAAACAACAAATTTAGAGGGCCCTTACTCTCAGGGTCAGGCAAGTGCCAATGTTAAGTTTTGAGCCTCAGGTACCTGACTTGCCTCTCCCTCGCCCTGGCTGTGATGACAGGATATATTTATGTGGTTTACAGTTCTCCTATGTAGATATGTTGTTGCTAGCCATCCAGGTATAGGAATGGCTACCACTGACATACCTATGACCCTCTGTGAGAGTCACATTGGTGCCCTTAACTGTCTTACTTTCCCCAACACTAGAAGGGTTCCAGTAGCAAGAGTAGCAGAGCTTGAGATGGGCAGAGCTGGAAGCTAGTCTGGCAATTCTTTCCATCATAAAGCACCTAATATCGGCTGGTGCGGTGGCTCACGCCTGTAATCCCAACACTTTGGGGGGCTGAAGCAGTCAGACCGGTTGAGGCCACGAGTTCGAGACCAGCTTGGCCAACATGGCGAAACCCTGTCTCTACCAAAAATAAAAAAATTAGCCAGGTGTGGTGACTCACACCTGTAATCCAAATACTCCAGAGGCTGAGGTAGGAGGATCACTTGAGCCTGGGAAGTCGAGGCTCCAGTGAGCCCTTGATCAACCAATATACTCTAGCCTGGGCGAGAGTGAGACACTGTCTCAAAAAGAAACAAACAGAAGAAAACACAACATTGTTAGAGAAGGTTTGGTTCTCTCTACTAAACCTGATCAAAACAGAAGTTGTCTGCTGTCAGAAATGTACCTGTACTCTAAATGCAGCAGATACACTTACAAATGCATCATACATTTTTGGAGAAAAATCACATGAAATGAATGATCTGAATTCCCATGTTTGTAAGGACATGAGGCTGTAGTAGTACAACAAAAAGCAAGTTCACCTGTGTGTGAAGTAACTTCCTATTGTTCTTATAGAAAATATCTTACAAAACTGAAGAAGTGATCAAAGGGTATGCAACTGAAAAATGAAAATAATGTCATAGAAGTGTGTCAAGCAGTTTATTAAAATGTCATGTCTTATGTATTTTGTTTAAGTTTATGGTGTTTGTTAGCCTTTTAAAATTTGTAACTTATTGTGATGCATTTCTCACTTTAAACATTTGTTTTTGTATCTAATTTTCTATTCTTAATTTTGTATTTTTTTTTCTTAATGAAGTCTCACAAATGTGATAAGCCTCAGGCCCTACAAAACTTGGCTTTGCCCCTCCATCTGGCCAGCTGTCAGTTTTTGTGTCCTGTGCGTCCCCCTCTTGCTTTTCCCCTTCTCATGCTGAATATCATCCCACGCCCACTCATTTGGGCCCGTTTTTCTGGACACAACTTAGTCAGCTCCCTGCATCCTTATCTAAAATGCCGGGAACTAATGTTTGCCCTATTCATGAGACTCTTCTGTAGGCAACATAGGAAATCAGACCCCACGCCAAACAGTTCGGTATTTCATCCAAGTCCAAAAGCAGAGAGATGACAGAATGCCTACCACTTTACCCCTTTACAGAATGCCTTTACTTTACCCCTTTTTACGTTGAACTGTCCCGCACCCACTCATTTGGGTCCATGTTTCTGGGCTCGACTTAATCAGTCCCCTACAGCCTTATCTAAAATGCTTGGAACTAATGCTACAAGAAGCCCTCCAAGGTGTGTGGGTTCAAGTTGTATGATATATTTGTTTGTTTATTTGCTTATTGTCTGTCTCCTCTTACAAGCTCCATGAAATCAGAAACTTAATGTTGCTCATTCCTATATCCCACACTTAGAAGCACGTGGGGCAAGTAGTAGGTGCTTAATAAATACTTAAGCAGTGGTAAATACGTAAGTGAAAGGAAAACATGTTTTGAACTTGACGGTTCTGCAAAAAAGAAAGAAAGAAAAGGAGAAGAATGTAAAACATGGACTCTCAAAACATGGACAGTTGTATTTTTATGCTTTTATAAAATATTTTTAGAATGAATGAAGGAAATTTGACCACTTCTTGCAGCTATTAATAGAAAACCATGTCTTTGCTCAGTTTTAAGACAAAAAATGCATTACACCTCATGTATTCCCATTTGTTTTTCACCAAGACAGTACAACGCCTTCATTGTGCAGTGGGCCTAGAAAATTCTGAAAACTGGGTGCAGAATTTCCGTTCTTAAGATCTTGTCTCTCTGAGGCCCTCCAGCCCAGCTGTGAGCATTCATCCCCCCTACCTACCCCCAACACCTCCTCCAGGACTTCCAGCAACCCACCCCTGGGTCCCCAACAACATGTCAGAGAAGGTGTCTTCTCCTCGAACTACAGGTCTGTAACCCCTTCCTCCTTCTTCCATGAACTTGCTCTTTCTCCGCTTAGGTGTCACCTCCTCCAAGGATGTTTATTTTTCTGCCTAATTTTCTATACTTAATTTTGTGTTCTTTTTCTTAATGAAGTCCTCAAAATGTGATAAGCTTCAGGCCCGACAAAACTTGGCTTTGCTTCTCCATCTGGCCATCTGTTCGTTTTTGTGTTCCATAGCCTCCCTCTCTTGCTTTACCCCTTTTTATGTTGAACTGTCCCACACCCACTCATTTGGGCCCATCTTTCTGGGCTCAACTGAATCAGTCCCCTACAGCCTTATCTAAAATGCTCAGAACTAACGCTTGCCCTATTCATAAGAATCTTCTACAGGCAACGTAGGAAAGCAGACCTCCACACCAAACAAATTGGTGTTTCATCCAAGTCCAGAAATGTTCCCTGACCCCTTATGTGGATATATTTGTGCTTGTCCCTATCACAGCCCTTATCTAGTGAAATCATCTACTGATTATACAACACCTACCCTTGCTCATAATCCCCTAAAAGGGAGGATCCCCAGTTCACAAAACTCTTCCCCTAGCACAGTATTAATACATTTTCTAGGATTTTTTCCATCAAGTTATTTTAACTGTTCCACTAGCAAATAATTAATAGTGAATTTGTAGTTTTTTACTAAAATGGTAAAAAGAAAAAAAGGTCCTAATAGACTTTCCACTGTGTACATGTCACTTTTGTATCTTTTGATATATTTAAGAAATAAATAAATTTTTATCTGCTCAACATATTCCTTGCCAGGTGTCATTGTCATCATCATATTAAATATAAAGCTGTTTTTCCTGCTATTGATAACATTTCACCATTTACTGAGTACCAAATCAGAACAGCACGGTTTTTTTGGATCTTTCATTTTAGCAGGTCATATAACTCTGTGTGTTCATTCACTCTTTAAATGGTAACCCTTTGCCTTGGACACATTAATCTGATTTCTTTCCTTCAGCAGTGCCCTAGTTTTTTCAATACCCTATAAGAGGACATCAGAAGAATATTTCTCTAGAACTGGAGACTCTAAGCTGGGTTGTCTATTGCCAGCATGGCTGTCTGCTCCCAGAATTTCCTTCTTTGTATGGTTCTCGGCTAAAGTTGTCCGGAGACATGATTCTCAGAATTGAGAAGACTGAAGGGAAGTGGAGGAGGGTCATATGGTCAAACATGCCAGTGGATGGACACAGCGGTGCCCAGCACATCCTCACTAGCCTCCTGCTTTGCAGTGATATCATCTCACTGCTGGCTCTGCTGACCCAGAGCAGCCTTCAGCCCTCACCCAGCCCCTGGGCCCCAAAGAGGCTGCAGTCCCTACACCTCATGCCTCAAGCTTCCCTTCCACAGCCTCCAAGGGCCATATCTGCATAACTTACTATTGGCTTTTCTCCAAGTTCCCACCAGTATCCTGCACAAGGGTTTCAGCTGGTCAGGGTTAGGCACTGTTTCCCTCTGAACTTCCCCAGCAATTCCCAAACTTGTGAAAGCTCTCCTTCCTTAACCCTGTACCTTGGAGTGGCTCTGATTTCCTGACTGGGCCCTGACCAATAGTTTCTTGTTTACCACTGGGGATGTCATCCTAGGAAAAAAAAATGACAAGGAAAATGTCTTGCCATGTTTCACTAGAAAAGATGGGGAAATCATATAAATGTCACCAAACCACCAAATGGGCCACCAGTGGCTCCTTTCAGGAATCACAAACATCAGTTAGTGTCATGGTAAGGGCTCAGACCACATGGTTGGTTGGATGTGCTGATACTAGTTTCCCTGCCTCCAGAAGTCCTTTTATCACCTGCCATCACCTTGTAGATAACTAGAATGGATAAATTAAGCTCTTCCATTGGTATCATGAAAGTTTAAGATGTAAAAATCAATCCTTAATTTTGATTGTAAAAATTATTTCTGAAACTGTTTATGTTGTTTTATACTAGTCAGATTAGGCTGTACTATGCTGCAATAATAAGTGAACTCAAAATTTCAATGTCTAGAAACATAGGAGTTAATTTTTTGGTCATGCAAAATTCACAGCAGATTTAGTAGCTCTCCAAGGCAGCTCCCTTTCAAGTGGAGACTCAGGGATGCAGTCTTCTTGCATCTTGTAACTATGCCACCTGTGACACTCATTTCTGTGTGTGCATACCCTGCATTTCTATACATGAACATGTGCATTCCTGTCTGTATATGTACCCGTGCATTTCTATGAGTGAACACATGGATTTCTGTGGGTGAACAAATGCGTATAATGGCAATTTTATAAGAGCTCAAAACTAAAAACCATATAAATGTCTAAAACAGTAAAATGGATGAGTTAATTTGGTAATTCATGATATACTACTATTCAGTCAAGAAAATGAGTGAACATACAGGAATGAATCTCATCAACTAAATGAGAGGTGAAAGAAATCAGACACAAAGGAGTATAAACTATCTTATTTGATTTATATAAAATTTAGAAATGGACAAAACTTGGCCAGGCACGGTGGCTCATGCTTGTAATCCCAGCACTTTGAGAGGCCCAGGCAGGTGGATCATGAGGTCAGGAGTTCGAGCACAGCCTGGCCAATATGGTGAAACTCCGACTCTACTGAAAATATAAAAATTAGCCCAGCGTGGTGGTGCATACCTGTAGCCCCAGCTACTTGGGAGACTAAGGTAGAAGAATCGCTTGAACCCGGGAGGCAGAGTTTGCAGTGAGGCAAGATCGTGCCACTGCACTCCAGCCTGGGCGACAGAGCGAGACTCTGTCTCCAAAAAAAAAAAAAGAAAAGAAAAGAAATTGACAAAACTCATCAGTGCTAGATGTCAGAGTAATTGGGGGCAATTGTTACATTCAGGAAGGAAAGGGGTCATGGGAAACTTCTGATGTTCAGGCAATTTCTTGATCTGAGTGGTGGTTTTATAGGTGTGCACTGTATAGTAATTATTGGCTATATATTTGTTTCATTCACTTTTGTGAATCATGCTATATTTTTAAATTTTAAAGATTAAACAAATTCAAACATATAAATCATATTAAACAGAACTCATGGTTATTTGCATTCCAAAGAACTGTTTGCTTTAGCTTAGCACAGTGCTAATCACATATTGTAAACTTTTTGAATTAAATAACACTCTAATAAAATTTAAATGTGATTTGAGTACCAAAATCCTATTTATACAAAGCTTTTCCAGGAACATGAAGTACTGCACATCATTTACATCTTTAATATTTATTTTTAATGGGGGTATCATCTTCCACCATGGCTATTTATAAGTGTTTTAATATTTTAACTAACTGAACTGGTTCTGCAGAATTATCACAAGAGATAAATGGCAATTTATATGCATCAGTTCTGGAAGAAAAATGAAAGCACCAGGGAGAGCCCTTAGAGGGATGGCAGGTAGATTTGCCTAGAGGAGAAAGGCTAGACTCGCTGCTAACGTGGAAAACAGATGCTGTTCTAGGCAGGCTGAGCTACACTGGTGGCACCTTTCCTGCATTAGTCTTGGTTTATTTTCCTCTGTTAAATCCCCTTCTCTGGGTCTTCTCAGCTGTTGCAACCCTGCCATTCCTCTTTGATGAGAAAGGCCATCTCCATTCCCTGGGACCTGGAGCTGCTATAGCAATCCCAATTGGTCTTCCCAGCTGTCTGACCCTCCCTTTGCACAGAAAAGCCTCCTTCCCAGACCTTCAGAGAAACTGATTCATTTCCAACTTCCCTCCCCAAACACACATCACAGAAACTTTCCCAAACGTTCCCCAGCTGCCCAAATTCTCAGAGATGATAAGAACTCATTAGAAACCCCTCTTAGCTATTGCAAAACTGTGATCTCCCCTAATTTTTCAGTCACCCTGAAGATAAGAACTAGCCATGTAATCATTTCTCAACCACCATAATCACCCTGGCCAGCAGTTCTAGAATCATGAGACTATCCTACTTCCCTCCAGAAACTGCAGCCCTCTCCCTTTTCTAGCTCTTCCAAGCTGAGCACATGAGCACTCCCCCAGTCCTACAATGGGAAGAAGAAAGGTATTTTCACATATTCTAGTAGTTGTCAAAATTCATTGCTGGGTTTGCAATAACAATATAAGACTCAGAATGAATGTATGGACTTCCAAATGCCATATAAATCTGCTTGTCAGTCTGAGAAGAAACGAGCCTGGGCAACATGGTAAAACCTCGTCTCTACAAAAAAATACAAAAATTAGCTGGGCATGGGGTCATGTGCCTGTGGTCCCAGCTACTCAGGAGGCTGAGGTGGGAGGATTACCTTAACCCAGGAGACAGAGAGGTTGCAGTGAGCTGAGATCGTGCCACTGTACTTCAGCCTGGGCAACAGAGTGAAACACTGTCCCAGAAAAAAAGAGAGAGAGAGAGAAGAAATGAGTGTCTACTGCATCAAGAGGACTGTTTTCTCTATCATATGCATCCCAGAAGAATGTATTGAAAGGTAAATACTTATGCTATGATTGAGATCATTAAAGGAATTTGATTTTAGAAGAGCAGAGGTGTAGTCATTAGCTACATTATTTAATGGACCTATCTGACTCATGAACTTAGTGTGAACAATAGTGATCAACACAGACATGCTTAGAGTGTCAAGGAGTTGACAATTCTTGTAAAAAAGAAGATACCTGTAAAATATCTGTAATGCAAGACAGTGTATGGTGAGGGCAAGGGGATGTGCAAAGTGCAACAGAAAGTCAGAAGATGCCTTAGCACAGACTTCTGGATGGGGATGCAATCAACCCTACTCTGACCAGGTGAGAAGACTTTAGCACAATCTTGGGTCCAAAAAGACCCTCCTCCCCCTCATCTTCCAGGTGATCACAAATCTACAACAAATTATAACCACATTGATTATACATGCATTGTCATATTTAGTCCTCACAAAATCTAAACCTGTGCTATTATTTCCCCAATTTTATAGATTAGAAGATGGCAGCTCAGAGAAATTGAGTTTCCTAACAGAATCAGGACTCAATCTCTAGAGCAGAGATTTTTTTTTTTTTTTTTGAGATGGAGTCTCACTGTCTTGGCCAGGCTGGATTGCAGTGGCACGATCTCAGCTCACTGCAACCTCTGGCTCCCAAGTTCAAGCAATTCTCCTGCCTCAGCTTCCTGAGTAGCTGCGATTACAGGCGCGTGCCACCACGCCTGGCTAATTTTTGTATTTTTAGTACGGACGGGGTTTCACCATGTCGATCAGGCTGAGTCTCGAACTCCTGACCTCATGATCCACCTGCCTCGGCCTCCCAAAGTGCTGGGATTATGGGCTTGAGCCACTGCGCCCGGCCTTAGAGCAGAGATTTTTACCATACCCTATAACCTTTCCATCAAACCATTAGACTTACACAAGACAACAGAGCAATGAAGTTGTTTTAAGAAGTTTGTACTGATAGGCTTTAGCAGCATGGTCACTGGACAGAACAACAGTAGCACCCTTGATCACTGATTCAGTCTGAGGTACACAGTACACATGAGTACGTACGGACCGGCAGTGAAAGACAAAGGAAACACTCCAAGGTTTTCCAGTGTATATTAGGAGAGGGGAGAAAAATAACAGTGTGCATAAATAATAAAACATAAGGAGGAAGGAGAAAAAAAGAGAGAAGAAACCCATGATAATTTGGAAGTTTTTAAAAGTTTTTAAAACTCCTCCTATTAGCTATTATTTATATTTATTAAGATAGTAAGAAGATTGTAAAGGTGACCTTAAGTAATTAAGAAGTAGAACATTTATCATACTCCATTGAAAGATCATTTTTATGCATGTGCCTGCTGATTTGAAATCATTTTTTTATCTACTCACTAAAGTAATTCTGTGAAGATTTATTGAGTCCCTTTATTAACTCCAAGACTCGTTAAACAATCAACTACTTTATGTTTAAAATTTGTTTTCTCCAATTCTAAAATTTTATTAATTCAGATGGCTTTGTAATTGGTCAAAATTTGAAAGTCTTAAATTGCATTAAAAATATTTTATAGTTGTGGCTGTCTATAGTCATGGATGGCAGCATCCTTAGGATTTCATTAGGCAAAGACCATGGAAAGGCCTGTCTAGATCTGAAGATGCTGCCATCGTTCTGCCCACGGTGCTCAGCCCCTGGGGAAGTGCTCTGTTCTTTGGCACTCTCACAGCCTTTGGATGGCGTCCCTTGTTGCTGCTCTAATGGGCTCTGTGAGCCACAGAGGCTCAAGGGAGATGCTCAGGGTTGCTCATCACTAGTCCCTTTGAGAGGCTGCAGAAGCTCAGGGCCACAGCCCCCAGGATTGCAGCATCCACACGGCCATCCGTGTTCTGGAACTGAATCCCAGACCTCTGTACCTCTAAAGGACAGCAGGAAATGAGCTTTGGGAACCACTGAGTAAAAAATTCCTCTGGGCTATTCCTTCCTAGGAATATAGAGGAAGCCCAAATGTTCTTGGGCTCAAGTTCCTGTAAATTTTGAAACTCTGCCCTTTGGGACTCCAGGGTGCAGAGTGAATTCCTGCACATATTCCAAGAAGACAACTTCAAATTAATTAATCTGAAATAACTCAGAAGATGAGTATGAACAGCAGGAAGGATTTTGTTGAATAAAAAATACCAATTTTCTTTTCCTTTTGTTCCTATTACTGTAGTCTTGACAGAAAAATAAAATAAAATAAATAAATGTCAGAGAAAGACTGCCAGGCAAGAAAGAAGTCAAGGACAAATAAGTGACTTTGTTCTGTTCTGGGAAAGAAAATGAAGCAGATCAATTTGTGTTGAAGGCCTTCTGTGTATCAGTGGGTGTCTTTACTATCAATGGGTGTCTTTACTATCTATAAGGGTGGAGACTCACATAATGAAAGAGCACCCATGCCACACCTATTTAGCATAAGGAAAACCTTCACCTTACTATAGGCCAGAACTTCAAAAGCAACACTTACTGGATACAACCTTTTCAGGGTACAAAATTTCAATTAGGCAGGAGGAATAAGTTTTGGAGATCTATCATACAGCTTGGTGACTATAGTTAATAATCATGTATTGTATACTTGAAAATGGCTAAAAGAGTAGCTCTTAAATGTTCTCACCTCGCTGGGCCTGGTGACTCATGCCTGTAATTCCAGCACTTTGGGAGGCTGAGGTGGGAGGATCACTTGAGCCCATGAGTTGGGGACTAGCCAAGGCAACATAGCAAGACTCCATCTCTACAAAAAAAATTCTTACCAAAAAGAAAGATAAGTATGTGAGGTGATGAGTATGTTAATTAGCTTGACAATAATGATTGTGGTAATCATGTCATTTGTAAACATATATCAAGCCATTGCATTGTACATTATAAATAGATAGGATTTTTTATTTATCAGTTATACCTGAATAAATCTGGGGGGGAACACAAGAAATTTTTCAAGCCACTATGGGTTTACCCTTTCTTCTCAGACAGTAGGACTTTTCCAACTAAATAAGATAGATTGTGTAGCAGGATTTGCATTGATTTGCTCATTCAGCAAATATTTATTAAGCACCCACTACATGTGAGGCCGAGAGTAGTTGGGGATACGTCAGTGAGCACACAGACACTCCACGAAGCTGATGTTTCAGTGCAACACTCAAAATAAATAAATGATGTAACATGTTCCAGGATGACTGTCACAGAGACGAAAAAAAACAGGCAGGAAGGTGCACATGGAAGGCCTCATGCAGGCCATATTTGAGCAAAGACTTTGAAAGATGTAAGAGAGCAAGTCCCGTGGATGTCTAAGAAACAGCGTTCCAGGCAAATGGACCATCAAGGGCAAAAACAGCAATTGACTGTCTCCGTGTTGGAGAAGCAGCAAGGAGCCTAGTGAACCTAAGGCAGGAGGTGAGGCCATAGAAGAAAGGAAAAAAGGCAAAAATACATGTAGGTCAACGTAAAGATGGTGTAAATTCTGCAGAAGCCTGGGAGCCATTGGAATATGTGGTAGGAGTTATTAAGAAATTATTTCAGGCAGAAAGGAAAAGTTTTCATTTCTTTTACGGCAGCTCCAAAGACCTTTTTTGTAAAGGCCCCACTCGTAAAGCCCCGGCTCTTAGCTCTTAGAGCCTGACGGCAACCTTTGATATGCAAATGCAGGCCATTAGAAACTGGGTCCACCCAAACATGGCAATTCCCACAGCCTCCTTGCCCTTGCCCCACATGTGCCTGGCAACATGGCCACCCCCACATATCCTCACGTGTGTAGAACATCATGGTGCCCTGCATTTGCATATTAAAAGACTAGGGGAGGAGGGCTAGTTTCTTCAGGGGCTGCGTGAATGACATGCCGGGTCAAACCAACCCTGAGCCCTATGCAAATCAGACACTGCTTCCTCCAGCCTCTGTATATACCTGGCTGGTTTCCACCCCACTTGGGGTCTCCTCTCCTGGCTTTGGAGCCCCCTCCCTCTGTCTCTGTACTTCTTCCTTCTGTCTTCCTTCTTTCTTGCCTATTAAACCCTCCACTCCTTAAAACCACTCCAAGAGTGTTCATGTCATTTTATCGAAACTGGCATGAGGACCAAGAACACTGGTGTTCCTCCACTCATCGGAGTGGTATCAAATAGAGCTGAGTAGTAGCATCATCTAACTCAGGCTGCCAGATAGAAAGAGATAACTAGGGAGAGGGGAATGGGGAGAGGGGCTGGGACCAGGAGTAGCAGAGGCGGTGGTGCAAAGAGGTTGGGTTTTGAATATGCCTTTAAGGTAGACGCAGCATGATCTACCTGGAGCATTGGGTCTTGAGTTTACATGTATAAGAGAAGGCCGGGGCCGGGAATGGTGGCTCATGCCTGTAATCCCAGCACTTTGGGAGGCCGAGGCGGGCAGATCACGAAGTCAGGAGATCGAGACCATCCTGGCCAACGTGGTGAAACCCCGTCTCTACCAAAAATAGAAAAATTAGCCAGGCTTGGTGGCACATGCCTGTAGTCTCAGCTACTGGGTAGGCTGAGGCAGGAGAATCGCTTGAACCTGGGAGGCAGAGGTTGCAGTGAGCTGAGATCGCGCCACTGCACTCCGGCCTGCTGATAGAGCGAGACTCCATCTCAAAAAAAAAAAAAGGAGGTCAGGATAACTCCATGGATGGTCTGACAAACCGAACTTATCATTGACTGAGAAAAGGAAGATTCCAGCAAATGGCAGGTTTGGGGAGAAAGATTAGGAATTCAGTTTGTACATACGAAGTTTGAGTTGCCTGGGAGATGTCCAAGAGGAAATATTGGGCCGGCAATTGAACGTACAACTCTGGAGTTCCAAGGGAGGTGCTGGTGAGAGGTGTAAGTTCAGAGTTTCATCAGCAACGAAGGATGAGAGGGCCTGGGAGGGGGTGAAGACCAAGGAAAGAAGAGGCCCAAAGACTGAGCTCTGAGGACTCCCTTGTTAAAGGAAAAGAACAGACATTTTAAGAGCTAGAAAGTATTAAGTAAAGCCAAATATCAGACACTGGGAAGGAAGAAATAGAAAAGCTATCTGCCAAAAACTCTGCCTATAGGAATAAGAGCTTATCTATACAGGTACCTAGCACCTTACCACAGTTAGCCATGTACCCCATCTGAACTTGAAACAATTCTTGTTTCCTTTGTTTACAGTGTGGCCAGTAAAAAATCTGACATGGCACTGTAGCCACCCTATTGTAAGGGCACCAGGCTCTGCCTATTTGCCAAAGAATTGTTTCGTTAGTTTCTGGTGCTGGGTTGGATTTCAGTGAAAGAAGTCGCAACTACGGTGGAAAACAAAGGCCGGGTGTGGTGGCTCACGCCTGTAATCCCAGCAATTTGGGAGGCTGAGGCAGGTGGATCACCTGAGGTCAGGGTTCGAGGCCAGCCTGGCCAACATGGTGAAGCCCCATCTCTACTAAAAATACAAAATACAAAATTAGTGCATGCCTGTAATCCCAGCTACTTAGGAGGCTGAGGGAGGAGAATCTCTTGAACCCGGGTGGCGGAGGTTGCAGTGAGCCGAGATCCCGCCATTGCCCTCCAGCTTGGGCAACCAGAGCGAAACTCCGTCTCAAGACAAAACAAAACAAAACCAAAGTCTGGGTAGTCATGGGGTTGTGTCCTCAGGACACAGCTCTGAACCAAACAGTCCGGTTTTCTTTGTCCAGCACACCCACTGGATCTGGTTGTGTCGGTAAACAGACTGCCTGGAGTTAGTTTTGCCTGATAAGGCGCACGTGTGTTCCAAGCTTACTAGAACAAAAGGGACAAGGGCTTGGCTTTGACTAATAATGAAACTGTAGTCATCTATTTCCTTTTAAAAAATATTAAAATATCTTGTTTCTGCTTTAGAAAGAAAAATATTCTCGAGTCCTCTAAATCATGAGTGAAGCTCTTGTAGTTACTGTTTCAAAAGACAAGGCGACGAATTCTATTTTTTATTTTTATTTTTTGCGATGGAATCTGTGTTGCCCAGGCTGGAGTGCGGTGGCACCATCTCGGCTCACTGCAACCTTCGCCTCCCAGGTTCAAGTGATTCTCCTGCTTCAGCCTCCCGAGTGGCTGGGATTACAGGCACCTGCCACCACGCCAGGCTAATTTTTCTATTTTTAGTAGAGACAGGGTTTCACCATGTTGGCCAGGCTGGTCTCAAACTCCTGACCTCAAGTGATCCACCCACCTAGACCTCCCAAAGTGCTGGGATTACAGGCGTGAGCCACCGTGCCCCCAAGGCGATAAATTCTAAGCCAACAGTGGGAGTTCAGAGGCCAGAAATGAGCAGGGAGGCAACTGCTGTGCAAACCTGGGAAGGCTGTGGAGATTTCTTTAGGGGAAAGCGCTGGTTAATATTTATTATTTCCCTGGAACATCTGGTAGGGGTGCGGGGCCAGGGGTGGGAGATGACTTCGTGGTCAGAGGGGCCTACATGTGATCCTGATAGTGCCACCTGCCTGTGCAAGTCATTTTATTTATCTGACCTCAAATCCCCTCATCTGTAAAATTAGTTTGCTAGGGCCACAGTAACAAAGCACTGTAGATTGGGTGGTTCTTAAACCACAGAAATTTATTTTCTCACAGTTTTGGAGTCCAGAATTCTGAGATCAGTATTTCGGCAGGGCTGGTTTCTCCTGAGGCCTCTGTCCTTGTCTTCATCTTCTTCTCACGTCTTCACAGGGTCCTTCCTTTGTATGTGTCTGTGTGCTAGTTTCCTCTTCTCATGAGGACACCAGTCATATTGGATCAGGGCCCACCCTAATGACCATTTTAACTGCCTCTTTAAAAACACTGTTTCCAAATAAAGTCACATTCTGAGGTATTGGGGGTTAGGACTTCAACATATGAATTTTGGGGAGACAAAATTTATATATTTTGGATATATGAATTCAAATTTCAGCTCATAACCATGTAGATAATCTTACTTGTACTTCTTCTATGCTTATGCTATGATAGTATGTATTATGTATGGAAAATTACATGATAATCAATTTTCTGTTGTTTTAAAATGTTTGTTGTTTGTACACACACAAAAAACTGTGCTGAAGTGCCCATAATCTAATAGGAGTCCTTTTTTTTCTTTTAATTTTCTGTAGAGACGGGGTCTCGCTATGTTGCCCAGGCTGGTATCAAACTCCTGGCCTCAAGTGATCCTCCTGCTTTAGCCTCCAAAGTTGCTCGGATTATGGACATGAGCCACCTTGCCTGGCTTCTAATAGGAATTCTTATGATTATACTGTGAGACCAAATATAAATGTTCATAAAAGGGTGCTTATGTCTAACTTTTTTAAAAGATACGGCGATATTTTAATGTAATTTTCTTGGATTATTTTAGGTCTGCTTGGGAGCAATGATAGTATTCTCAAAAGAAGTAATAACCAGTGCAGGTCAGGAGAGAAAGCTACTGAATTAAGAAAAGATAAATTATTTAAAGGTAAATCAAAAGGACTGGCCAACCTGAATTCAGTTGCAGTTTTATCATTTTTTTTGTTGTTGTTGTTTGCTTGTATGTTTTTTGTTTTGTTTTAAGACAGAGTCATGTTCTGTCGCCCGGGCTGGAGTGCAGTGGTGTGATCCCAGCTCACTGCAAACTCCACCCCCAGGGTTCAAGTGATCCTCCCTCCTTAGCCTCCCAAGTAGCTGGGATTACAAGTGTGCACCACCATGCCCGGCTAATTTTTATATTTTTAGTAGAGGTGGGGTTTCACCATGTTGGCCAGGCTGGTCTCGAACTCCAGACCTCAAGTGATTCACCAACCTCAGCTTTCCAAAGTGCGGGGACTACAGGCGTGAGCCACCACACCCAGCCCAATTATTAATTGTGTGATTTTGAGCCTCAGTAAATATTAGTTCCCTTTTCCTTGATTAGTGTGATAATATACTCCAGAAACAGAATAGTGTGCTAATGACTTTTGGAAAACACACGATTTTATAAATTGAAAATCCAACAGTTTTTATTGTTTCTTTAGAGAATCAAGGCACAAAGTAAATGATCAATAAACATTGGATGAATGCATGGATTGATGAATACATGGATTGATCAACCAATGGATAGATAGGAAAGCAAAATGATACAGGAATATAGAAGGATGTTTTTCTAAGTCTCACTTGATCTGAACTGTAACCAAATATTGACATGGCTGGTGAAGCCATCAGGATACTCCACTCCTCCTCCTTCTACTCTCATATACCCCCTCCAACATAGGTGCTGTAGAATAGATGCCATTAAAGGGCTTTCTAAAATTAAATTTCAAACCTTTTAGACGATATATTCTGTTTTAAAGCCATACTTCCTTTTGATCTCTCAACTGGCTGATTTGAGTTGGTGCTGACACCAGATTTAGTTCACTCCCTCTCAAAACCTGCTTCCCTGCCTAGTAAGAGATGCACTCCCTCCTGCAGTGAGCATCCAGGGTCACCCGCAGTGGACATTCCCAGTTCATGTTCTGGCGGAAGTGTTTATAGCAGTCTACAACCAACCTGGTCCTCCTGGTTCACACCTTAGACTCTAGGCTTCTGGATGAGAAAGACAGTTTTCTAAGTTCTCTCACATAGTCTGCATCTGAGCTTTAAACCACCTTGTACTTATTCTGCATATGCTTCCCTCCTTTCAGAAAGTTCCCTAAGACTCTGGGCCTCTACTTGTCTAATACTTGTTTCAACCCATTTCTTTATCCTGTTGATAAAGGCAGTTTTGATGCTTACTGAAGCTCAGCTTTTTCTACACTCTTCTAGGCTGGCAAAGGGCATATCTAAGACAGCCCCAATAATCCTGCCTCCTGGAATTCATGAGTCTCATGAGTCAGAACCACCCAATTAAACTGCTCCCCAATTCCTAACTCACATAAACTTGTTGTTTTCAGCCATTATATTCTGGGCTAATTTTTTAGGTGGCAATAGATAACTAATATACTTCCCAAGCTGTCCAAACCTTAATTGTAGATTCCATCTGTCCTTAAAACTTATTTGCATCATCCTACCATCTTCCCAGCATGGCTACAAGCAAACTTCTTGATTCTCCCTATTTCAAAGCTGTTCTTTCTCCTAAGCCCATTCACTGGAAAGCAATGGATGCATCTTTTTTGGAGGACGTAGGGGAACTCAGGGTATCACCACTTCCTGTCACCTCCCCAGGTTCTCATTATGATCTCTAATTTAAGTGTCCCCAAGGAAATGGTCTTTTGGAATCCTATTTTTAAATACTGAGTTATCTATCTTTACTATGTAGAATAAGAACAGACATAATGTTCTCAAAGGAGGTCAGCCCAGATGAAATGATTGATACATATGTCCTATCCTTTATATTCAGACATGACACTACCCTGCTGGTCCAATGTGTTAATGGAGGGCATGGAATTACCCGAATTTTTTATTGTGTCCAGTTCTTCTGATCTTGAATTAACTTTTTAAATGACTGGCTGGATTCATGGGAGCTGTCCATGGAACAGTTCCTGTGTCCAGAAACACATAACTGGATTAGGTTGAGAAGGAAGTAGGGCGCCACTCTCATTAACTGAAATGACTGGCCACCAATAAAATATCTGTTTATGGTAAGATCATTCCACTAAAGCTGACTCTCAACTTTTTCCTACATCAAGATGTCAGAGAGCATGCCTCCGGCATAACTCAGTAACAGTATTTCACCTTGGCATTGATGTTTTGTAATGATGAGGTAAGTTGGAGTGGTAAGTGATAAATATGGCTTTCTCCTCCCCATCCTACCTATCCCTCTCCAGAGTAGAACTAAACATATTCTAAGGAGGTGTGTGTAGATCACAAATTACTTAGATATTCTCCCTAACATCTGAGAATGTTTACACTAAAGTGATACTAACATACCACAGGGCCCAAGAGGATGAGAGGTCATTTCAGTTCTAGAGAATCTGTTGCTTATGAATAGTTTGTGTTATAAGACTTTCTGGCTTTATCCTTGTAAAATGCTTTGTACTTCTTGGTAGCCAGGAGATTGATGCATGATGTTATTACAGAAGCAAACAGAGCAGTTCCAGGCATCCATTCAAAGTAGATATATCAAATAGGCATTTTGGACAGTTTGAAAGATCTCAAATTCTTTGTTCTTCCAAAAATCCTCCCAGTGAAAGGAAATGCTTTTGTTTCAGTGGCCCGAAAAGACTAACTCTTGACTTCAGTTCCTTCCAGCCCTGTCATCTGCACTGATAGCAAGGCCTCACCACAGCCTTCCTAATGGACAGCAGCCAGTGTCATTTCAGGATGCCCACAAGAGTGCCACCTGGTTCCAAACTTTCTAATCCCTGGAGAGGAAAATAAAAATGAACTCTCTTTGTCAAAGGTGAAAATGAGAACTGGAATTTTTCCTGAATAGGAAATGAAGTGCTCTCTATTTCTTAGTGACAGTTCGTCATGATGGATTTCAGACTGTGCCTGGGTGAGAAAAAATTCATAGTCAAACTGAAAAAAACATATTTTTTGATGCGTGATTGTGACCAGTTTCCAATAATCTGGAATATACATACATATACACACACATGTGTGTGTATATGTATATATACACACACACATAACATACATAAAATAAAATAATAAATACAGACAGATGTAGATTCATTTAATATATACTTACTGAATGTCAACTATGTTGTGACCACTGTAATAAGTGCTGGGATTTGAACAGTACACAAAACAAACACCATCCATTTTCTCATGAAGCTTATAGGTGATAAGCAGACGATATTAAACTATAATGTGTGTAAAATGTTAGGAAAGGACAATAAATGGTGATGGTGAGCTGCCTGAGGGAAGTCCCTTGCTTTATTTTCACAACTTCTTCCTCAGTACTTGGAATCATGCCTGGCACATCATAGGAACTTAACATATATAGAATGATTTAATGAGTGTATATATTAATTATGAGAAAGATAAGACAGAGACAACTTGAGTTGTGGGATGCCACAGTGGACCCCAGTGGGAAAGATAAGCAGGAATTATCCACAGGAAGGGGGCAAGGTGTGGGGAAGCATTCCAGAGAGAAAGTAAAGCGGGCTTTTTTAAAACAATGTCCACCTGGAGTGGTGGCTGACGCCTGTAATCCCAACACTTTGGAAGACCAATGCAGGAGGATCGCTTGAGCCTAGGAGTTCAAGACCACCCTGGGCAACAAAGCAAGGCCCCTATATTTACAAAAAAGATTTTTGTTAATGAGCTGAGTGTGGTGGTGCACACCTGTAGTCCCAGCTACTTGGGAGTCTGCTGTGGGAAGATTGCTTGAGCCTAAGATGTTGACTGCAGTGAATCATGATCATGCCACTGCACTCCAGGCTGAGTGACAGAGTGAGACCTTGTCTCAAAAAAAAAAAAAAAAAAGTTCATACTTTTTAAAACTAAAAGTCACAAATCACAATGAAGCTATTTCTATCATGAATCACATCAAATAATGCAAAAAAAAATCCACCACAATTATAAAATAATAATCACAAGAGATGCCAAGAAACAGATAAAAACACATTACTAATGGGAGATTAGTAATTCCCCCTGGGAATAAGACAGAGCTAGTGAACTAAAATGAAGATATAGAACTAAAATGAAGATATAGAAGAACTAAACACTATAATCAATACGGTACATCTTAAGAATGTATATGAAAGTTTTCAGCCTGACAATAGAAAATACAATTTCTTCTCAAGGTACAAGGATCATTCCCAAAATTGATTATATGTCAGGTCATAAAGAAAATATCAGTAAGTTCCATAAAGTATAAATATTACCGAATATTCTACCAATATTACCAAATATTCCATCAAAACAAATTTTTGTTCACAGTGTAATAAAACTAGAAATTATTGACAACAAAAGCAGCAAAAAAAGCCCATTTCACCTAGAAATGTAAAAGCTTTCTCTAAGGACTCTTGGATGAAAAGAGAAAGATAAAATGAAATTATAAAATTTCTAAAACATATTGATAATTAAAACACAGTGTATCAGAATATATGAGATATTTGAAATATGATTATTTAAAGCAGTAACCATAGGGAAATTCATAGCCTTAATCACATTTACCAATAAAAATCAAAGATTTTAAATAAATGAATTAAATTCCCAGCTCAGAAAGCCAGAAAAAAAAAGAAAGAAAACACAACAAAAGAAAAATTGAAGCTAAAAGAAATTAGTGTGACAGGAAAAAAAAAATAGATCTAGTTAGATCTATTTCAAATCAAATTCCTGGTGTTTAAAGTTAATTGGCCAGGCGCGGTGGCTCACGCCTGTAATCCCAGCACTTTGGGAGGCTGAGGCAGGCAGATCACGAAGTCAGGAGTTTGAGACCAGCTTGGCCAACATAGTGAAATCCCGTCTCTTCTAAAAATACAAAAATTAGCCAGGTGTGGTGGCATGTGCCTGTAGTCTCAGCTACTCAGGAGGCTGAGGCAGAAGAATCGCTTGAACCCGGGAGGCGGAGGTTGCAGTGAGCTGAGACCACGCCATTGCACTCCAGCCTGGGTGACAGAGTGAGACTCCATCTCAAAAAAAAAAAAAAAAAAAAAGATAATTAACAAAATAAACAAGCCATTAGCTAACTTAAGAAAAAAAAGAAGAAGGAATTCAAAAATACAAAATAAGAAATAAGGAGAAATAACTATTGAAACAAGAGAAAATAAATCACAAGAGGCTATTTTGAAAACTGTGCAAATAAATTTGAAAAATTAGGTGAAATGGATAACGTCCTGAGGAAATACAGTTAGCCAAAATTGACTTGTTGAAATTTACATAGCTTAAACAGATTAGTATCTATAGAATATGTGGAGGAAGTTATCAAGGAACTATCCTCCAAAATGCACGAGACCTAGATCATTTCAGAGAGAAATTCTACCAAAACTTCAAAGATAAGGTAATCTCTACATTGTTCCGGAGCAAATGAAGGATATTTTCCTAATTATTTTTGTGAAGCAAGTATAATATTGATTCCTGAACTTGTTACAGAGCAGAAAAAAATAAAATTACAAACCAATATTATGTATGAAAATTGATGCAAAATTTTAAAATAAACTGTTTATAAACAGAATTCAACACCGCATTAAGAAAATAATACACCATGGCCAAGTGGCAATTATTCCAGCAATTCAAAGTTGATTTGCTGAAAACCCAGCAAATTAGGAATATTAGGAAACCCATTAATGCAATTAATACACCATATTAGTAGATTTGAGGAGAAAAATCATGTAATTGTCTCCATAGAGGCTATAAAACCTTTTATAATATTTAACATCTTCTGAGAGTACAAAAAACTCAAACTGGTCTTCCTCCACTCTCATACTACAATCAACACAGAAGACTTCCATGACCAAATGTGTGGGGATTTCTCCACACAGCAAGCAAGCAATCAAATCTACAGCAGACACAAGCTGAGTATGCTTCAATTCAGTTCTAACAGCATCCACCTGGAGATAGGGTCAGATCCCACAGTTGGGTCAGTTCTATAAGACTGCTCCCACTTCCAATGCCAGTAGCAAGCCCCAGGTTGTTTTGCCCATGCTTCTAACTGACTGACTATAAAACAGGCATCGTATGACCTCTCCTTGGGTTTGATTAATTTGCTAGAGTGGCTCATAGAACTTACTTATGTTTTTCCAGTTTATTATAAAGAATATTACAGGCTGGGCGTGGTGGCTCACACCTGTAAATCCCAGCACTTTGGGAGGCCGAGGTGGGAGGATTGCTTGAGGCCAACAGTTTGAGATCAGCCTAGACAACATAGTGAGAACCCCTATCTCTACAAAAAGTAGAAATAAAAAAATTAGCCGAGTGTGTTGGTGCATGCCAAAAACAAAAAAAGGATAGTACAAAGAATTACAGAATGGCAAGGGGAGCAGAGCTTCCATGCCTTCCCTGGGCACTGAAACCGCCACATATTCAGCTATCCACAAGATATCTGAACCCAGTCCCTTTGGAGTTTTATGGAGGCTTTATTACATAGGCATGATTGATTAAACCACTGGCCACTGGTGATCAACTCAACCTTCAGCATCTCCCCTCCCTGGAGATTGGGCAGTGGGGCTGAAAATCCCAACTCTCTAATCCTGCATTGGTCTTTTTGGTGACCAGCCCCCACCTGAAGCTACCTAGGAGTTGCCTGCCATCAGTCAACCCAATAGCATAAAAAAGACACATCACTTTGGAAATTCCAAGAATTTTAGAAGTTGTATGCCAGGAAATGGGTCAAACACCAAATATGTACCTTAAAATATCACAACATTCATCATCCATTCCTGGTTAAAAAAAAAAGGAAGAAAAAAGAAATTAATCGATACCTTTATATATATATAGTCAGACTCAGATATCCGACTAGGTCAGGCAGACCCTGGCAGTATATGGCAACATTGCAGGAGATGCAAACTCCAGCTTTGGGTATTTTATTTTATTTTATTTTATTTTATTTTATTTTATTTTATTTTATTTATTTATTTATTTATTATTATTATACTTTAAGTTTTAGGGTACATGTGCACAATGTGCAGGTTAGTTACATATGTATGCATGTGCCATGGTGGTGCGCTGCACCCACTAACTCGTCATCTAGCATTAGGTATATCTCCCAATGCTATCCCTCCCCCCTCCCCCACCCTACAACAGTCCCCAGAGTGTGATGTTCCCCTTCCTGTGTCCATGTGTTCTCATTGTTCAACTCCCACCCATGAGTGAGAATATGCGGTTTTTGGTTTTTTGTTCTTGCGATAGTTTACTGAGAATGATGATTTCCAATTTCATGCATGTCCCTACAAAGGACATGAACTCATCATTTTGTATGGCTGAATAGTATTCCATGGTGTATATGTGCCACATTTTCTTAATCCAGTCTATCATTGTTGGACGTGTGGGTTGGTTCCAAGTCTTTGCTATTGTGAATAATGCCGCAATAAACATACATGTGCATGTGTCTTTATAGCAGCATGATTTATAGTCCTTTGGGTATATACCCAGTAATGGGATGGCTGGGTCAAATGGTATTTCTAGTTCTAGATCCCTGAGGAATCGCCACACTGACTTCCACAATGGTTGAACTAGTTTACAGTCCCACCAACAGTGTAAAAGTGTTCCTATTTCTCCATATCCTCTCCAGCACCTGTTATTTCCTGACTTTTTAATGATTGCCATTCTAACTGGTGTGAAATGGTATCTCATTGTGGTTTTGATTTGCATTTCTCTGATGGCCAGTGATGGTGAGCATTTTTTCATGTGTTTTTTGGCTGCATAAATGTCTTCTTTTGAGAAGTGTCTGTTCATGTCCTTTGCCCACTTTTTGATGGGGTTGTTTGTTTTTTTCTTGTAAATTTGTTTGAGTTCATTGTAGATTCTGGATATTAGCCCTTTGTCAGATGAGTAGGTTGTGAAAATTTTCTCCCATTTTGTAGGTTGCCTGTTCACTCTGATGGTAGTTTCTTTTGCTGTGCAGAAGCTCTTTAGTTTAATTAGATCCCATTTGTCAATTTTGGCTTTTGTTGCCATTGCTTTTGGTGTTTTAGACATGAAGTCCTTGCCCATGCCTATGTCCTGAATGGTAATGCCTAGGTTTTCTTCTAGGGTTTTTATGGTTTTAGGTCTAACGTTTAAGTCTTTAACCCATCTTGAATTAATTTTTGTATAAGGTGTAAGGAAAGGATCCAGTTTCAGCTTTCTACATATGGCTAGCCAGTTTTCCCAGCACCATTTATTAAATAGGGAATCCTTTCCCCATTGCTTGTTTTTGTCAGGTTTGTCACAGATCAGATAGTTGTAGATATGCGGCGTTATTTCTGAGGGCTCTGTTCTGTTCCATTGATCTATATCTCTGTTTTGGTACCAGTACCATGCTTTTTTGGTTATTGTAGCCTTGTAGTATAGTTTGAAGTCAAGTAGTGTGACGCCTCCAGCTTTGTTCTTTTGGCTTAGGATTGACTTGGCGATGCGGGCTCTTTTTTGGTTCCATATGAACTTTAAAGTAGTTTTTTCCAATTCTGTGAAGAAAGTCATTGGTAGCTTGATGGGGATGGCACTGAATCTGTAAATTACCTTGGGCAGTATGGCCATTTTCACGATATTGATTCTTCCTACCCATGAGCATGGAATGTTCTTCCATTTGTTTGTATCCTCTTTTATTTCCTTGAGCAGTGGTTTTTAGTTCTCCTTGAAGAGGTCCTTCACATCCCTTGTAAGTTGGATTTCTAGGTATTTTATTCTCTTTGAAGCAATTGTGAATGGGAGTTCACTCATGATTTGGCTCTCTGTTTGTCTGTTGGTGTATAAGAATGCTTGTGATTTTTGTACATTGATTTTGTATCCTGAGACTTTGCTGAAGTTGCTTATCAGCTTAAGGAGATTTTGGGCTGAGACAATGGGGTTTTCTAGATATACAATCATGTCGTCTGCAAACAGGTACAATTTGACTTCCTCTTTTCCTAATTGAATGCCCTTTATTTCCTTCTCCTGCCTCATTGCCCTGGCCAGAACTTCCAACACTATGTTGAATAGGAGTGGTGAGAGAGGGCATCCCTGTCTTGTGCCAGTTTTCAAAGGGAATGCTTCCAGTTTTTGCCCATTCAGTATGATATTGGCTGTGGGTTTGTCATAGATAGCTCTTATTATTTTGAGATATGTCCCATCAATACCTAATTTATTGAGAGTTTTTAGCATGAAGGGTTGTTGAATTTTGTCGAAGGCCTTTTCTGCATCTGTTGAGATAATCATGTGGTTTTTATCTTTGGTTCTGTTTATATGCTGGATTACATTTATTGATTTGCGTATATTGAACCAGGCTTGCATCCCAGGGATGAAGCCCACTTGATCATGGTGGATAAGCTTTTTGATGTGCTGCTGGATTCAGTTTGCCAGTATTTTATTGAGGATTTTTGCATCAATGTTCATCAAGGATATTGGTCTAAAATTCTCTTTTTTGGTTGTGTCTCTGCCCGGCTTTGGTATCAGGATGATGCTGGCCTCATAAAATGAGTTAGGGAGGATTTACTCTTTTTCTATTGAGTGGAATAGTTTCAAAAGGAATGGTACCAGTTCCTCCTTGTACCTGTGGTAGAATTTGGCTGTGAATCCATCTGGTCCTGGACTCTTTTTGGTTGGTAAGCTATTGATTATTGCCACAATTTCAGCTCCTATTATTGGTCTATTCAGAGATTCAACTTCTTCCTGGTTTAGTCCTGGGAGAGTGTATATGTCAAGGAATTTATCCATTTCTTCTAGATTTTCTAGTTTATTTGCATAGAGGTGTTTGTAGTATTCTCTTATGGTAGTTTGTATTTCTGTGGAATTGGTGGTGATATCCCCTTTATCATTTTTTATTGCTCCTATTTGATTCTTCTCTCTCTTTTTTCTTTATTAGTCTTGCTAGCGGTCTATCAATTTTGTTGATCCTTTCAAAAAACCAGCTCCTGGATTCGTTAATTTTTTGAAGGGTTTTTTGTGTCTCTATTTCCTTCAGTTCTGCTCTGATCTTAGTTATTTCTTGCCTTCTGCTAGCTTTTGAATATGTTTGCTCTTGCTTTTCTAGTTCTTTTAATTGTGATGTTAGGGTGTCAATTTTGGATCTTTCCTGCTTTCTCTTGTGGGCATTTAGTGCTATAAATTTCCCTCTACACACTGCTTTGAATGTGTCCCAGAGATTCTGGTATGTTGTGTCTTTGTTCTCGTTGGTTTCAAAGAACATCTTTATTTCTGCCTTCATTTCGTTATGTACCCAGTAGTCATTCAGGAGCAGGTTGTTCAGTTTCCATGTAGTTGAGTGGTTTTGAGTGAGATTCTTAATCCTGAGTTCCAGTTTGATTGCACTGTGGTCTGAGAGATAGTTTGTTATAATTTCTGTTCTTTTACATTTGCTGAGGAGAGCTTTACTTCCAACTATGTGGTCAATTTTGGAATAGGTGTGGTGTGGTGCTGAAAAAAATGTATATTCTGTTGATTTGGGGTGGAGAGTTCTGTAGATGTCTATTAGGTCTGCTTGGTGCAGAGCTGAGTTCAATTCCTGGGTATCCTTGTTGACTTTCTGTCTCGTTGATCTGTCTAATGTTGACAGTGGGGTGTTAAAGTCTCCCATTATTAATGTGTGGGAGTCTAAGTCTCCTTATAGGTCACTCAGGACTTGCTTTATGAATCTGGGTGCTCCTGTATTGGGTGCATATATATTTAGGATAGTTAGCTCTTCTTGTTGAATTGATCCCTTTACCATTAAGTAATGGCCTTCTTTGTCTCTTTTGATCTTTGTTGGTTTAAAGTCTGTTTTATCAGAGACTAGGATTGCAACCCCTTCCTTTTTTTGTTTTCCATTTTCTTGGTAGATCTTCCTCCATCCTTTTATTTTGAGCCTATGTGTGTCTCTGCCCATGAGATGGGTTTCCTGAATACAGCACACTGATGGGTCTTGACTCTTTATCCAATTTGACAGTCTGTGTCTTTTAATTGGAGCATTTAGTCCATTGACACTTAAAGTTAATATTGTTATGTGTGAATTTGATCCTGTCATTATGATGTTAGCTGGTTGTTTTGCTTGTTAGTTGATGCAGTTTCTTCCTAGTCTCGATGGTCTTTACATTTTGGCATGATTTTGCAGCGGCTGGTACCGGTTGTTCCTTTCCATGTTTAGTGCTTCCTTCAGGAGCTCTTTTAGGGCAGGCCTGGTGGTGACAAAATCTCTCAGTATTTGCTTGTCTGTAAAGTATTTTATTTCTCCTTTACTTATGAAGCTTAGTTTGGCTGGATATGAAATTCTGGGTTGAAAATTCTTTTCTTTAAGAATGTTGAATATTGGCCCCCACTCTCTTCTGGCTTGTAGAGTTTCTGCCGAGAGATCTGCTGTTAGTCTGATGGGCTTCCCTTTGAGGGTAACCCGACCTTTCTCTCTGGCTGCCCTTAACATTTTTTCCTTCATTTCAACTTTGGTGAATCTGACAATTATGTGTCTTGGTGTTGCTCTTCTCGAGGAGTATCTTTGTGGCGTTCTCTGTATTTCCTGAATCTGAATGTTGGCCTGCCTTGCTAGATTGGGGAAGTTCTCCTGGATAATACCCTGCAGAGTGTTTTCCAACTTGGTTCCATTCTCCCCGTCACTTTCAGGTACACCAATCAGACGTAGATTTGGTCTTTTCACATAGTCCCATATTTCTTGGACGCTTTGCTCGTTTCTTTTTATTCTTTTTTCTCTAAACTTCCCTTCTCCCTTCATTTTATTCATTTCATCTTCCATCACTTATACCCTTTCTTCCAGTTGATCACATCAGCTCCTGAGGCTTCTGCATTCTTCATGTAGTTCTCGAGCCTTGGTTTTCAGCTCCATCAGCTCCTTTAAGCACTTCTCTGTATTGGTGATTCTAGTTATATATTCTTCTAAATTTTTTTCAAAGTTTTCAACTTCTTTGCCTTTGGTTTGAATGTCTTCCCATAGCTCGGAGTAATTTGATTGTCTGAAGCCTTCTTCTCTCAGCTTGTCAAAGTCATTCTCTGTCCAGCTTTGTTCCGTTGCTGGTGAGGAACTGCATTCCTTTGGAGGAGGAGAGGCACTCTGCTTTTTAGAGTTTCCAGTTTTTCTGCTCTGGTTTTTCTCCATCTTTGTGGTTTTATCTACTTTTGGTCTTTGATGATGGTGATGTACAGATGGGTTTTTGGTGTGGATGTCCTTTCTGTTTGCTAGTTTTCTTTCTAACAGACAAGACCCTCAGCTGCAGGTCTGCTGGAGTACCCGGCCGTGTGAGGTGTCAGTCTGCCCCTGCTGGGGGGTGCCTCCCAGTTAGGCTGCTCGGGGGTCAGGGGTCAGGGACCCACTTGAGGAGGCAGTCTGCCCGTTCTCAGATCTCCAGCTGCGTGCTGGGAGAACCACTGCTCTCTTCAAAGCTCAGATGGAAATGCAGAAATCACCCATCTTCTGTGTCGCTCACGCTGGGAGCTGTAGACCGGAGCTGTTCCTATTCGGCCATCTTGCGAGACCATTCTGCTTTGGGTATTTTATACACACACACACACACACACACACACACACACACACACACACACACACTATATATATATATATATACATATGTATATATATATGTATATATATATGTATATATATGTATATATATATATTTTGTTAATATATGTGTGTGTATGTGTATATATATACATATATATATATATATATGTATATATATATATATATATATGTATGTATATATGTCCTAAAGGTCCCAAAGGCAGCGTCTTGCTTAATGGAAAAACATTAAAGCACTAGAAGCATTTCTAATAGGATAAGAAACGAGGCAAGGATGCCCATTATCACCACCACGTTCAACAGCATACTGGAGATATTAATTAACTACGTAATAGGAAGAAATAACAGATTGTACAGATAAGAATTGAAAAGAAGCTAAACCATTTCTATTTGCAGATGATTTGATCATGTACCAGTAAAATTCTTGATAGTCAATGATATAACTAACTCAAACAATAAAATAATTCAGTAAAGTAATAGGCTATAATGCTAACATATACAAATTATTAGCTTTCATATAAACAAACGATAACTAGTTAGCTAATAAGATGATAGAGAAAACCCATTTACAATAGCAACAAAAAGGATAAAATACCTAGAAAGGAATTAAACCAAAAAACACGTAAAATAATGCAAAATTAAGTTCAGCCTAAAGCCGCCTCCTTGTAAGTTTGGCCTAAAGGTTTCTCCATACATAATGAACTGTAACCTAATGAGATGTGGCTATGTAAACAGACCGTAACCTACCCTTGTACCAATCACTGAGTTCCAGCCAATCATAGGCAGTTAACTGTTCAAATAAGGCAGATGCCAAGCTGTAATCAATCTAGCTGTTTCCGCATCTCACCCATTTTCTGTACATCACTTTCCTTTTTCTGTCCATAAATCCTCACTGACCACAAAGTAGTGCCAGAGTCCCTCTGAAGCTCTTCTGGTTCAGGGGGCAACCCAATTCATGAATCATTCTTTGCTCAGTTAAACTCTATTAAATTTAATATCTCTAAAGTATTTCTTTAACAGACAGTGTCAGAAGTGGAATCTGAAGTAGAGGCTCCAGTGACCAACAAGAGCATCAAGTGACCAAGTAAAGTAACCCCCTGGCCATTGAATCCATTGCTCTCTCACAGCAGCTGGGGATCATGGGTGAATTCTCTCTCAGATTCTGAAGTTCCAGAAATTTGTGTTTTGAGTTATCTGAGTTTGAGCAAAAAATTTCTTTTTTTTTGTTTTTTGAAATAGAGTTTTGCTTTTCTCGTCCAAGCTGAAGTTCAATGGTGCAATCTCGACTCACTGCAACCTCCGCCTCCTGGGTTCAAGCAATTCTCCTGCCTCAGCCTCCTGAGTAGCTGGCATTACAGGCATGTGCCATCGTGCCCGGCTAATTTTTTGTATTTTTAGTAGAGACGGGGTTTCACCATGTTGGCCAGGCTGGTCTCGAACTCCTGACCTCAGGTGATCTGCCCGTCTCGGCCTCCCGAAGTGCTGGGATTATAGGCGTGACCCACCGCGCCCGGCCTTTGAGCAAATTTTTGATCCAAACTGGGTTTGGAAGCCATGACAGAAACTGGACTGGGTCCAGGATCAGATTGGATCTAATAATTAACTTACTTGGATCCAGTTAGAGGCCTCAGATGTCTGACTAGGTCAGGCAGAAACTGGCAGTAAATGGCAATACTGCAGGGAGTGTGAACTCCAGCTGTGAGAAATTTGCAGGGACTTTTGCATTTTAGCCCCTTTGTTTCTTTTTCTTACATACCTAGGCAGGGGAAAAAAATCATTAGCTAAGTCAATCAAGGGGATCTGAGAGCCAAAGGCATTCAATGTAAAAATGAGATGCTTAATTGCTTAATTTCTGCAGAATTGAATACACCACCTTTTGGCTACACCTACACTTACATGTGTCGGAATTAGGCCCCCAAGAGCCCCCAAAGCAGCAAATGCTTACAGAAATAGCAAAATCTTACTAAAGGTAATTTAAAATTACAGTGGAACATTCCAAATAAATAATACTGTACTTTTAAATGTGTGTTATTGTAGCAGATTTCACACACACACAAAGTGCATTTTAAAATGAGGGCTCCTAAAGAAGGCTCTTCCAGGGATGCCTACCGATGTGCAGAAACTTCTAAAAAGATTTCAATACTTTTATTCCCTCATTAAAAAAAAAAAAACTCTTGGCCAGGTGTGGTGGCTCATGCCTATAATGCCAGCATTTTGGGAGGCCAAGGTGGGCAGATCACTTGAGGTCAGGAGTTCAAGACCAGCCTGGCCTACATGGTGAAACCCCATCTCTAGTAAAAACACAAAAAATTAGGTGGACATGGTGGCTTGTGCCTGCAGTCTCAGCTACTTGGGAGGCTGAGGCAGGAGAATCACGAACCCAGGAGGTGAAGGTTGCAGTGAACTGAGATCGCTCCACTGCACTCCAGTCTGGGGAACAGAGTGAGACTACATCTCAAAACAAACAAACAAGCAAACAAAAAATTCTTTATAAAAGGCAAATAAAAAGCTTAAGTGACTGACCAGAAACAGTGGCTGACCCCTGTTATCCTAGCACTCTGGGAGGCCAAGGCAGGTGGTAACTTGAGGTCGAGTTCAACACGAGCCTGGCCAATATGGGGACACCCCATCGCTACTTAAAAAAAAAAAAAAATTAGCTGAGTGTGGTGGTGCACACCTATAATCCCAGCTGCTTGGGAGGCTGAGGCAGGAGGATCGCTTGAACCCAGGAGACAGAGGTTGCAGTGAGCCAAGATCACACCATTGCACTCCAGGTGACTCCCTGGGTGACAGGGCAAGACTCTATCTAAAAAATAAAAATAAAAATAAAAAAAATTGACTAATTGGTAAGAAAATTTACCAACTTTTTGGCTTAGTTACTATTTGTGAACCCCAAATATCTGAGACAGGTCTCAATCAATTTAGAGAGTTTATTTTGCCAAGATTAAGCGCGTGACCATGACACAACCTCAGGGGTTCCTGACATGTGCCCAAGGTGGTTGGGTTACAGCTTGCTTTTATACATTTTAGGGAGACATGAGACATCAGTCTATATGTGTAAGATGTACATTGGTTTGGTCTGGTAAGGCGGAACAACTTGAGGTGGGGGCTTCCAGGTCATAAAACAAAAGGTTGCATTATTTTGAGTCCTTGATGAGCCTTCCACTGGATACAAAATATAGTCTGGCTCAGTGAATCTTCATTTTTACATAAACAATAGGGCAGAGGAAGCAATCAGATATGCATTTGTCTAAGGTGAGCCTCAGAAGGAGACTTGGAGTTCTATCTTTCCGTTGTCCACCAAGAATTTCCTTGTGGGCAAATTGTGAGGGAGGTATGTCACTTTTTATCTTTGTAGCTATCTTATTTAGGAATGAAATGGGAGGCAGGGTGCCTGACATAGGTCCCAGCTTGACTTTTCCCTTGGCTCAGTGATTTGGGGTCCTAAGATTTATTTTCCTTACACATATCCCAACCAAAGGCAAAAAGAAAGCTATCCTGGATACAGTGTTTATAAAAAGTAGGCCCTCAGATTAAATGGCCTTGATTCTTTTTCAAAGCTATCCATGCTAAGTCCAGGTATAGAGAATGCTTTAATTGCTGTGTTTCTTAATGAGCTCCATCCTGAACTCAGTAGTTTTAGCTAAGAAAAAGTAGCTAAGTTAAGAAGACCACCTATTAAACTAAAACAGTCTCTAAAATATACTTTTCTGGCATTTAGCTGGCTATCTTAAAACACTTTTTTTTTTTCAGAGATGGAGTCTCACTCTGTTGCCCAGTCTGGAGTGCAGTGGCGCGATCTCAGCTCACTGCAACCATCACCTCCCGGGTTCACGCCATTCTCCTGCCTCAGCCTCCCGAGTAGCTGGGACTACAGGTGCCCACCACCACACCTGGCTAATTTTTTCTATTTTTAGTAGAGACGGGGTTTCACCATGTTAGCCAGGATGGTCTCGATCTCCTGACCTCATGATCCGCGCGCCTCGGCCTCCCAAAGTGCTGGGATTACAGATGTGAGCCGCCGCGCCTGGCCCCAAAACACTTTTATAGGAGAAATTTATATCTCTAAAAGAAATTTCCATTTGAAAGGGTGTCTGAGAGGGAGGACTGGGTCACTAGAAACTCTTACTGTTGTTTTAAATGTACATACATTGTCTTGCCTTTGTTTAAGGTGCTTTTCCAGGCCATGCTGCCTTAACCGGATCTTTATGTACAATCTTTTCCCTTGGTTTGAGCAACTGATAGTACAATATTTAGGCCTAAAATCTCAGCTCTGTGCTTTTGAGAATTTTCTACCTTGTTTCACCTAAGAGTCATCCCTTTAGGAGGCAGATTGTGGAGTAGCTAACAACTACTTAGAGCAATAAAACAGATAGTTCTAAGACTGATAGTATGAATGGGGAAAAGAAAAACTATTTGAAAGCTGACAAATGAGAATTCTTCATGGAAGCTTTAAGACCTGCTTGTGTCTATATGTCTATATGTGTATGTGATACTATTTGGTGAAGAAAGCTAGTTTTTAAATTGTTGGTAAAATAAAATAAAAAAATGACTTCAGAATTGTCACTTAAAGATAATATAGATATTTATGCCTGAGTCTACTGGTCAGACAGGTTTATGCTATCTCTGCTTCAAGCTTTAAGGTCATAAAACTTCTGCTTCTGTTATGTTTTTGATATTTGCTTGATTTGACTGTGAGCTTATGTTTTTGTTTTCCGAGCCTCTGGATTCTGGGGTCCAGACAGGTGACCTTGGTAACATATGGGGACATGTCCTCAGTGTCTATATCACCACCTACAGGGCACAGTCAAGCTCAAAATGACCCCTTTCTCCCTGGCCCAGCTTTGCCTCCTGGCCATTCTGTGAAGGGCTGAATGCTCCAGTCATCATCTTCATAGCTGTCTTCTGTCCTGAATTCTATACCTAGTATGTAAATTTAGGACCCAGATGGGACCTCCCCTTATAGCCATCCTAGGTGTCATGTGGCTACTTGAGACCCAGGATGACTGGGAAAAACATTAGAAAGGGTACTTGTATCATAGTATTAATATTCTTTTCAGTAATTTAAATCTTAAAGTCATATTATTTTAAATTAAGTACCAGATAATCATAAAATGTCTGAGTTTTTTTACAAGTATGTTAAAATACTAAAACATTAATTATTAAACATAAATTTAAGTTTATATAATTTGGCATCTTATTTTTCTGTGATATAAAAAAGCTAAATATATGTAGATCTGTTAATGAACAAAAATTTGAGCAAACATATCTTTGTAAAAATTATAAAATGGTTTTCATCTATAAATACTGATATAAAACAGTTCAGAATTACTTTTTAGACTTTTACTGAAAATTAGGGTGACTAAGAGTTAAAATTATAGTTAACATATGTAATTAAAACTACATATATAAGAGAATTCTATATACAAAGTGTACTAACAAAAAAGACATGCTTTGATTAAAAAAAAGCTGTAAAAGAATACAAATACATAGCTGTTGAGAAAAAATTACTTTGTCCAGTTTAGAAGTTACTTAAATATTATTTTACGATAAAAGAATTTTAAAAGATATAAATAAAACTAAATAATATTAAAAGTCAGGAAGAAAAAGAATTTTTAAAATTTTGTAAGAGATTATAAAACATTTATGAAATCTGCATGGTCAAAAGCTGACTGAGATTAGTTTGTTTATAAGGTTTTATTAAAATCAGCTTTAATATTGATAATTCATTAATACAAAAGCAAACTTTGGTTTTCTCTTTTAAACAAGATTTTTGTAAAGTAATAATAAGAGATAATAAAAAATTTTTGTTCACTTTTAGAGACATCTCAAAAAAAATGAGACAGCAAGAGGAGAAAAGGAGAGATAGATTCTGTCTAATGCTGTCTTTATTAGATATTTTAATCTTTGGGAAGACTGGGTCTCCTCTAATCAAAGAGTAAAAGTTTTTGCTTTTTAAAACCTTTTAATTATCACTAACAAATGGCTATTATTTTACAGTGACCTGTGGTCATACTTTGATTAAATGTTTTAAACCTTTGACATATTTGACGGCCTTCCCAAAATCAAATTTAAAATTCAAAATTAACTCTCTTTAAACCTCAAACTAAATTTGGGATGCTACAGAGGGCCCATACAGCATCCAAAAGACAAATAAACATGCCTACTTAATATATTTTAATTTTTTTCGAAACAGGCTCTCACTCTGTTGCCCAGGCTAGAGTGCAGTGGCACAGTCACAGCTCACTGCAGCCTCAACTTCCCAGACTCATGCAATCCTCCTACCTCAGCCTCCCAGGTAGCTGGGATTACAGGTGCACACCACCCTACCTAGCTAATTTTTTTGTGTTTTTTGTAAAGATGGGGTCCTGCTCTGTTGCCCAGGCTGATCTTGAACTCCTGGGCTCAAGCAATCCACCGGCCTCGGTCTCCCAAAGTGCTAGGATTACAGGCATAAGCCACCATGCCAAGCCTAATATGTTAGATTATATGAAAAGCATTGTCAAATAAGAAATGATCTGCAGTTAACTTTCTTTGAGTTATATTTTTATGAATATATTATTTTAATATATGTTTGAAAATTGTATAATAGTCCTAAAATTCTGACATGTCTTGGTATATTTTATCAGTCATAATTATGGTTATTATGTCCTTAGAAATAACTAAATTTTCTTGTCAATTGCAACCTTAATCATGTTCACAGTTAATGGCTTAATTCTGATAGAGTTTCTAAAAGCTCTTTACAAGCAAATAAACTCCTAAAGTACTGTGCCTTCAAGGAAGTTCATGAAAAAGATAAAAAGGACTCTGACAAAAATTCTTAAATACAGAGTTGTCATGACTAGAATCGTATCATTTAGACTGGGTAAGAAATTCCCAGAACTCTAACAAAGGGGTTGACTGGTTTATGAAACTGCTAACACAAGCAAGACAAAAATTAATTGAATACCAAGAAAATACTTTGCCAGATTTTCATGCTACATCAGCCAGTACTAAAATTGTTTAGATATGCAGTTTAAATGAACTCCATTGTTCAAGTCAAATTACTTATGATAACTTATCTAATAAACAGTGCTTTGCACCTAAATTAGAGAAACAAAATTCGTAGTTAAGAGGATATAAATCAAATGTTAAGCGTAGACTCATGGAGAACCTGGATGGCTACCTGGTTCTTCCTGAGTCCTTAAAACTTCCATTATATAAAGCTCTATATCCATGACTCATTATAAAAAAAGATAAAACTATCCAAATTATATACATAATTTTAGTGACTGTTGTAGATTACTAAAACGGTCTTAATATCAATGTTTGGTTTGTTAAACCTATAATTCTAGAAAGATAATAAAAACTTTAGGTATATTCTGCTATCTGATAGGCCAACTAAAGATTTATAGAGAGATTTCATTCAACTGTCATTTTCAATGCCTGTTTTCTGGTAGTATGAAAGCTTTCCCATGCAAGAAAACTGATGCTATAATAGTAACTAAAAGGTTATTAGGACATATTTTTTCTTTATGGGACATTCCTAGAAAAATCTCCACCAATAAAGGTACTTGTTTCACTAGACACGTTATAAAACAGTTAAATAAGTCACTACAGATACAATTGCATTAGCCAAAGCTAACTTAATTGACCGGATTGCCTTGATCAAAGGTTTTACAGATTAATGACAATCAGATCCTCTTCTCATGGAAAATATAACTTGGCCTCTTATGAAATAATCACTTGAAGGCCTATGCTTCTAATAACAGAAACTCATGTATCTTCTGCTCCTAAACTCTATATGACTAAATGCTACAGGCTTTTTTTTTTTTTTTTTTTTTTTTTTTTTGAGACAGGTTCTCTCTCGGTCACCCAGGCTGGAATGCAGTGGTGGAATCATGTCTCACTGCAGTCTCAACCTCCTGGGCTTGAGTGATCCTCCCACCTCAGCCTCCCAAGAAGCTGAGACCACAGGCACACACCACCACCCCTGACTAATTTTTTTTATTTTTTGTAGAAATTGGGTCTCACTCTTGTTGCCCAGATTGGTCTTGAACTCCTGGCCTCAAGCAATCCTCCCACCTCAGCCTCCTGCCTCAGCTTCCCAAAGTGCTGAGGTTACAGGTGTGAGCCACCCTACCCAGCCCGGTAAGGCTTTAATACATTATGCCAGAGTATATTTTCACCAGGTTAAAAAAAACAAAAAAAAAACTTTTCATAGCCCACCGACTGAGGATAACCAAACTCTTCATGATTTACAACCCTGAGATTGGGTCTTTTGGAAAACAAAATCAGAGAAAGACTACTCTTGCCACCCACACTACAACAAAACTTTTCTACTATCAAGACACTCTTATCTCTTAATTTTTTCCTTACATATGCCTCTATAAACAATAAAACAAGAAAGGGGGTCTTGTATACACTCATGTGGTATACTTTTATTTGTGAAAGATTTTACAGTCAACTTTATACATGGACAACTTTATGCCTTAATAAAGGAAAGACAAAGGGCCGATGTGGGGGAAAAAATTTAATGGTACTTTCATTACTTCATGATCAGACAAAAACAAAACATTGGTCCACTCCTCTTAACCTTTGTCTATAAGAACATTGCCAGGAGGCCTTCACTCTTCTGGATGGGCATGATTTGTTAGGTCTTTTCTTCCATGGTTTAGAGTAAATGAGACAAAAGTTAAAAATGTATCCCTCATAAATTTCTACAAGGCTGTATAATAGATTCTTCTGCAAAGACTGTGGTTACACAACAGACTTCTTTAAATTCTCATACTAAAATGGTGGTAAATAATAGAATTGCTCTAGATTACTTGCTGGCTAAACAGAAAAGTATCTGCACAGTTACTGACACTTCTGGTTACACATAGATAAATACATCAGGTATTATAGAGACATAGTTCTAAGGTATTAACAAACAGACTGCTTGGTTAAAACAAGTAGACTTTGTATTTAGCTCATTCTTTGATCATTTAATTTTAGTTGGTTTTGTTTATGGGGATCTTGGCTAAGGAACATACTTCAAACTCTTGGTATTATCTTCCTAATAGTCATAATAGTAGTCTCTCTGGTACACTGTATTCTCTCAAAAGTTTTAAATGTTTTCATACAACCATTCATAAAATGTCAAATGGTCTCCCTTTGACTAGAATGACAAAAACCTCAAAGAAATGCATGATCTGTAAAACTGTAGACGTCAAAATATTACAATAGTCAGTTTATGTTATGCATGTTCTACCAAATAAAAAAGAAAACAAACCACCCACAGAATGTCTGAAATTACAATTAATCATTGTTTCAACCTCCTAAGTTTTGAAATGATAGATAACTGGAACAAAACTTAAATGATTGCTATTAAGTAGATCAAGCTAGGCTGCCCACCTATTTCATTCCTAAGGATACAGTGACAAACTAGTCACCCCAAAAATCTTGTGGTACAAAACACTCAGATTACTGCTTAGTTCTAACTACCCATGAAAATCATTTGCCCACCTGGCCTTTGGTGGTTTTACTGTCCCTGGGATTTCATTGTCCTCTAAAATCAGGGAGCACATTTCAATGGCAACATCTTCCACCAATACCAGGCCTGAGAACAGTGACTACAGAGCTCTTCAAGGTTGTGGGTCTTCCCTCATCGGTGCATTTCTCAGCATCTTAGAGAAGGGGATGCCCTCTGGATTTGGGGACAAGGAGGCTGCCAGTCAGCACGATAAACCTATTTCAGCATTTTAATCTCTCCGTCCCTTAAATTCCTTCCTCTGCACTGCCCTAGAGAAGTCCTGGCAACTCGGCCTTACTGATTGTTGCCCAACACTATTGGTCAACCAAGCAAGCAGATGCTGGAAACGCTCTCTAAAAATCCAAACCACACATCACATCTGACTCCTGTGCTGGCTCCAGGCCAAGCTTTCCTCTGGGTCTCTGTGCTTGTCTCTTTGCAGAAAAGAAAACAAAAGGAATGAATATTCAGGGCGTTTGTGCCTTACACAAGATAAAATTTCATTACAGGATATGCAACTTGCCATTCCTGGGGGAGCTCTGAATCCTAAAGTAAATATGAAAGTTTTGACACATCTCTGTGTTTCAAGCAGTTGCCATGTCTCTTGAAAGACAAGAACATAGCATATTCAGCATGCAGAAGGCTGTCAAAACATTTGTTTTTATTACATCTAACTGTCCTGTGTTTTCAGTAATACTGGTGGCCTGGCAATGTGATCCTGAGCCAACTAGGATCATCAAACCATCTAGTCAGATCTGGTGGGAGCACTGACACCAGGAATATGTAGACCTCGGAATTCAAACTTCAGGGGGACTTTTACTCTCTCATGTCTTAAGGTTTATTATTTCTTATATGCCAACTTTCTTTACTTATTAATCTCATCAATAATGTCAGTCATTGCTTTTGGCATACTGTGGGAATGATCAAAGATATACCCATGACCAGGCATGGTGGCTCATTCCTGTAATCCCAGCACTTTGGCAGGTCGAGGCGGGTGGATCGCTTGAGCCTCGGAGTTCGAGACCAGCCTGAGCACACAGTGAAACCCCACCTCTACAAAATACACAAAAATTAGCCAGGCATGGTGGTGCATGTCTGTAGTCCCAGCTACTAGGGAGGCTGAGATGGGAGGAACGCTTGAGCCCTGAGAGGTCAAGGCTGCACTGAGCTGTGATAGCACCACTGCACTCCAGCCTGGGTGACAGAGCAAGACTCTGTCTCAAAAAACAAAAAGAAAGATATCTAAAAGCACTTGGTTAGACAATAAACTACTAAGAGGAGAAATAAATAAGTTCTTAAACATAAACAAATAATACCTTACAAAGCACCTTCCTTCCAAGGAGACAAAAAAAGCAATAGAAATTTTATCAGTTATCTCAACCATCATGATTCAGCTGTTCTGCTAATGAATAAGAAATGGAAAAAAAAAACCCTCAAGATTTAATATTTGGAAATCTCTACTGAGTGTGAGTAAATTTCTTCTACTTCTCCTTGGATGTAAAGCAGCCTCAGAGTAAATGTTTCTAAGGGACTTCGTTTTGTTTTTTTTTTTTAATTGTATACCTTTCATATACATAAAATAATGCAGAAAAAATAGAGGGGAAAGAGAAAAGCAGGGAAAACATTTATCCAAATTCTAACAAAACTACTATTAGTTTGTTCAAAACAGGCTTTCTTTACTCTCTATTTTCCTAAATTTCAAATTGTGATACTGTTAAATATTAACATATATTTGGTTTATATACCATCTCTTGGCATATAATTCGTAAAATCCTTAGATTCTCCAAAGTGATGTGTCTTTTTATGCTAATGAGTTGACTGATGGCTGGCAGCCCCTAGGCAGCTTCAGGACTGGTCACCTGAAAGATCAAGGCAGGATTAGAGGGCTGGTACTCTCAGCGCCATCCCCCAATCTCCAGGGAGGGAAGAGGGGCTGAAGGTTGAGTTGGTCATCATTGGCCAAGGGTTTAATCAATCACGCCCACATAATGAATCCTCCATAAAAACCCAAAGGACTGGGTTCAGAGAGTTCCAGGATAGCCAAACAAATACATGGAGGGTGACTCACCCTGGAAATGCATGAAAGCTCTGCCCCTTCCGTCATACCTGCACCCCCTTCACACCCTTTCATTTGTATCCTTTGTAATATTCTTTATAATGAACCTGTAAACTGAGTTCTGTGAGCCACGCTAGCAAATTAACCAAACTCAAGGAGGAAGTGGTGGAACCCCAAGTCATAGAAACACAGGTGAAGCAACCTGGGGCTTGTGGTTGACATTGAAAGTGGGGGGCAGTCTTGTGTGACTGAGCCCTCAATCTGAGGTTGAGGGATTTGATGCTATCTCCAGGTACTACCAGAATTGAATTGGAGGATACCCAGATGGTGTCCACTACAGAATTGATTGTTTGCTGGTATGTGAGAGATTGGTCCCAGAAGTCTTCTGTGTTGATTATTGTGGGATGAGATCAGAGAAAAAAACAGTTTGTGTTTTTACTAGGCAAAAACGCTTACTCTTAGCTGGGCACAGTGACTCACATCTGTAATCCCAGCAGTTTGAGAAGCTGAGGTGGGTGGATCGCTTGAGCTCAGGAGTTTGAGACCAACCTGGGCAACATACCAAAACCCCATCTCTACCAAAAATACAAAAATTAATCGGGTGTGGTAGTGCATGCCTGTGGTTTCAGCTACATGGGAGGCTGATGTGGGAGGATCATTTGAGCCTGGGAGGCGGAGGTTGCAGAGAGCAGAGATCCCGCCACTGCACTACAGCCTGGATGATAAAGTGATACCTTGTCTCAAAATAAATAAATAAATAAAACCTATTCATTATCATTTATATTCCTCCTATTGTTTCTATACATGATCTTGGAGGTGTAAAATAATTATCATAATGTTGTACTTAATAAGTAAGACACCTAGAGGCAGAAATACCATTTGATCCAGCAATCCCATTACGAGGTATGTACCCAAAAGAATATAAATCAAAAGATAAATGCATGCGTATATTCACTGCAGCACTGTTCACAATAGCAAAGACATGGACTCAACCTAACTGCCCATCAATGATAGATTGGATAAAGAAAATGTGGTACATATGTACCATAGAATACTATGCAGCCATAAAAAGGAATGAGATCATGTCCTTTGCAGGGATGTGAATGGAGTTGGAAGCCATTATACTCAGCAAAGTAATGCAGGAACAGAAAACCAAACACTGCATGTTCTTACTTATAAGTGGGAGCCGAATGAGAACACATGGACTCCTGTGGGGGAACAACACAAGCTGGGGCCTATTGAGGGGAGGGGAGGGAGAGCATCAGGAAGAATAGCTAATGGATTCCGGGCAAAATACCTAAGTGATGGGATGACCTGTGCAGCAAACCACCATGGCACACGTTTACCTATGTAACAAACCTGCATATCCTGCACATGGACCCCAGAATTAAAATAAAAGTTGAAGAAAAAAATAAGCAAGACTAAAAACAGGCCACTATTCTAACCATAACACAGATTAGAAATAAAATGATCTCTGTATCTGCATATTATGTCTGGAAATCTTAGTTTTGTTATTAAATGTAACCGTATCCACTCCAATTGCTGAAAAACAATGTGTGCAAGTCACCTAGCTACAAAGAAATAATATTGCTCTGAGCTGTAACAATAGCTGATTAAATACTTTATGGAAAGAAATGTCTGTCCTGGACAACTCAAATGGGTATGGAGTGATGGAAAAAAAACACTGAACTGCAAATTTTGAGATCTGGTTCTGGCACTGTCTAGAATTAAGATCTTATTTAAGCCAATTTGTAGAACATGGACAATCTCTATAAAAGTCAAATCTTTGATAGAAAAGTTTGTTCTTTCTAGCTCTAAAGTATTATTCTAATGCTTTAATTTCATTCATCACCTGTTATTGGGTAAAAAAGAATACTACCTTGGTTAATAGTTAATGTTAACTTTAAAAATCATCTTCTTTTAGCTTCACAGTTGTCAGTTAGCTTAAAATTATTAACATGAGGTGCCGGGAGCGGTGGCTCATGCCTGTAATCCCAGCACTTTGGGAGGCCAAGGAGGGCCGATCATGAGGTCAGGAGTTGGAGACCAGCCTGGCCAATACGGTGAAAGCCCGTCTCTACTGAAAATACAAAAAATTAGCCGGCCGTGGTGGCGCGTGCCTGTAGTCCCAGCTACTCGGGAGACTGAGGCAGAAGAATCGCTTGAACCCGGGAGGCAGAGGTTGCAGTGAGCTGAGATCACGCCACTGTGCTCCAGCCTAGGCAATAGCGGGAGACTCTGTGTCAAAAAAAAAAATTATTAACCTGAGGTAATGATGGGACTTCTATATTTCAGCTGGGTGTCAATGTCTTTTTCCTTGAATGTGTGTTAATATCTTCCTTTACCACACTTCAAATAGTTTGCATCCTATCTGAGGATCAAAGATAAAACTTTGAAGTGCTTTATCAGCCTGGAAACCTATTGTGAGGGCACGTAGGCAGCAGTCAGTTCACGCTGTAACTCTGCTATGTCACCTCAAGTGGCTGGAATCAGGTGTCAGCAACACAAATTGCAAATAAAAAACACCTTGCCTTGTACCTATTTTCACAACATTTATTCTTATTGAAAAACCTTTATTTATTGTTTTCTTTCTCTTTTTAAGTTATAGGTTAATAACCCATAGGATTATTACCGAAGAGAATACTTGTTTATCTTGTTAAACTTTCCCTTTGAAAAGGCCCTTGTTGTACCCTTCTTAATGAAAACCAAGACTCACAGTACGGTTTTGGGCATCTGCTCAGTGTGTATGGTGGGTGTCCCTGCAAAGCAATATATAAATCTAATTTTCATAAATGCAATTTTATATAATAATATATTGGGGAGCTTGATAGTTTAAAGGAGGTCTTTAGTAACAACTTTATCAACAACTGTTTTGTTATGTAAATCCCCATTTCCTAATTGCTTTATTTGAAGTTTTGATTTTTAATGATACTAGATTTTCTTAAATCTAGTATCCATAGGGCACATCCATAAACGTTGTAAAAAATGATTTCAGGACTAGACCTGGTGGCTCATGTCTGTAATCCCAACACTTTGGGAGGCCAAGGTGGGAGGATGGCTTGAGCCCAGTTCAAGACCAGGCTGGGTAACATAGCAAGATCCTGTCTTAATTTTAAAATATTTTTAAAAAAATTTTAGAATCGCCAGAAAAGAAAAACAAACAAAAAACAGAAAAGTAGCATCTGAAACACAAGAAAGGGAAGTCCATCTATCTCTAATCTCTGTGGCCAAGTAAGTTCTTCACTCAGCACAGAGCAGGGACAGGTATGTGGCAAGTGTCAAGGCAGAGGGTCTTCTGTGATCTTTTAATGGCAATACAGTTGGGCCAGGGCATGGTGGCAAATAAGAATAATATGAAGAAAACTAGAAAATAAAAGATTTCATAAAGTCTTTGGGCAGTTTTAAAATGTTTAATCTGTAATAATGATCATTGAAAGATGATATTTTAGAAGAATGTATACATTTCATTAAAACACACATTGGATTTTCTGCTCCAAGTATCTGTTGGCTCTAATTCTACTCATCTTCCAGTCTTGGGTTTTCAGTGCTCACCTGACACCAGGATCTGAATTTAAAATATCTTGGGCACCACCTTGTGGTCCAATTGTTCTACCCTTTGTAAAAGTGCTTATGCAAGCTATTTACTCATTACTTCGTACATAATTACAGCCTAAAGTATTTATGGTTAAAAGCAACCACTGCATTTTTGAAGGTCTCATGCAGTCAAAGAGGAAGTTCATGATTGCATTTAGTCTGTACTTAATGGATACTCTAAGTCTAATCATTCCCAAGTACAATAAACTTTGGATAATATGATTAAATACTTCTGCCATGATTCTTTTAACCTTCATATTGACTTTGTTAACGTTTGAAACGGTTGCCTTGGTGAGAGGGGATAGCAGAAACTAGATTTATAGCTGTACTGTTTGGGTCAAATTTTACCCACTGTTCTTAGATACTGAGGATTAAGGATGAAAAATTATAGCCTGCAAAACTTATGTCCACACAAAATCTGTACATAGATATTCATAGAAGCTTTATTCATAATTGCCAAAACTTGGAAATTACTAAGATGTCCTTCAGTAGGTGAATGGATAAGTAAACTGTGGTACATCCTGAATATCATTCATCACTAAAAGGAAATAAGCTATTGAGCCTCTACAAGACATGAAGAACCTTAAATGCATGAAAGAAGCCAATCTGAAAAGGCCACACACTATAAGATTCCAAGTATATGCTATTCTGAAAAAGACAAAACTATGGAAACAATAAAAAGATCAGTGGTTGCCAGGAGTTGGAGGGAGGGAGGGAGGGAGGGAGGGATGAGTGAGTGGAGCACAGATGACTTTTAGGCCAGTGAAACTCCTCTGTGTGATACCGTAGTGGTGGAAACATGTCCTTACACATTTGTCAAAACCCATAAAATGTACAACACTAAGAGTGAACCTTAATGTAAACTACAGACTGGTGATAATGATGTGTCAATATAGATTTATTGATTGTAACAAACGTACTACTCTGTAGGAAATGCTGATAGTGAGGGAGGCCTGGAAAGAGGATATGGGAACTCTCTGCATTTTCTGTTCAATTTTCTGGGAACCTAAAGAGGTTTTGAAAAATAAAGTCTATTTAAAAAAAAAAAAATTATAAGCTGAATCCTCGCAGTTAATTTAGCTTCTTTCACAACCAAACTTTTACAAGTAACTGAGTTAAGTCGTTTCCTCCCTAATTTGAAGGCACTATTAATGACAACATAAAAGCACAAAACACAGTACTTAAGCACTATGTGATACACTCTTTTAAAACTAATCTTCCACCATGCACGGAGGCTCACGCCTGTAATCTCAGCACTTTGGGAGGCCGAGGAGGTCAGATCATGAGGTCAAGAGTTCGAGACCAGCCTGCCCAACATGGTGAAACCGCGTCTCTACTAAAAGTAAAAAAATTAGCCAGGCTATGTGGTGGGCGCCTGTAATCTCAGCTGCTCGGGAGACTGAGGCAGAAGAATCGCTTGAAATCAGAAGGCAAAGGTTTCAGTGAGCCGAGATCACGCCACTGCACTCCAGCCTGGGCAAAAGAGCAAAACTCCATCTCAAAAAAAACCAAACAGCCGGGCCTGGTGGCTCACGCCTGTAATCCCAGCACTTTGGGAGGCCAAGGCGGGCGGATCAGCTGAGGTCAGGAGTTCGAGACCAGCCTCAATATGGAGAAACCCCGTCTCTACTAAAAATACAAAATTAGCCAGGCGTGGTGGTGCATGCCTGTAATCCCAGCTACTCAGGAGGCTGAGGCAGGAGAATTGCTTGAACCTGGGAGGCGGAGGTTGCGGTGAGCCGAGATCATGCCATTGCACTCCAGCCTGGGAAACAAGAGCAAAACTCCATCTCAAAGAGAAAAAAAAAAAACAAACAAACTAATCTTCAGCATTTGGTCTCTCAAGTTGCCCACTTGGCCCTCTTTCAAGTGTACCTTCCTTCCTTTTCTTCCTTTCCTTACTTCTCTAAAGCTTTTTAATAAACTTTCACTCCTGCTCTAAAAAACAAAAACAAACAAACAAACAAAACAAATCTTTTAAATAAAAATCAGTCTGATCAAAGAAAATTACAGCAAGTAGTACAGAGAGGTAGCTCTTTAACACTTAGTAAATGTCTTAAGTGTATTGTTTGGGGGAAAGGACACATTGAAACAGCGTTAAGAATTGATTCTGCGTGCTCCAATTACATTTTTTTTAAATTCCGGTTTCAGGCACACTGGAAAGTGTGGGAAGAGAAAGTTCTTGCTGAAATTTTGATTAAATTTTCAGTCTCAGGAGACTGACCCAAACATTTCATGGTTCACAGATGGCTTATAACAGTGGTTCCCAACATTTTTGTTGCCAGGGACCAGTTTCGTGGAAGACAATTTTTCCACGAACTAGGGGTGGTAGGGATGGTTTCGGTATGAAACTGTTCCATCTCAGATCATCAGGCATTAGTTAGATTATCATTAAGAGCCAGCACCCTAGATCCCTCACATGCACAGTTCACAATAGGGTTTGAGCTCCTGTGAGACTAATATCACTGCTGATCTGACAGGAGGCGGAGCTCAGGTGGTAATGCTCACCCACTGCTCACCTCCGGCTATGCAGCCTGGTTGCTAACAGACCACAGACCAGCACCTGTCTGCAGCCCAGGAGTTGGGGACCCCTGGCTTAAAACAAAGTAGTCAAGTGATTGCATATTCATTTGTAGCCCTGAAATGACAACAAAATAGAGCAGCACTACAGTCAGCAGACAGTTTCCATAGGGATCAACAGGCAGATTCAGCTTGATTACAGCTACTGATGTCATGGAAGTATCATGTCCCAATCGCGTTTCTCACTGCTGACTTTATTACACATTTGCTGGGCCCTATCTGGATCCAGAAGTTCCAATGGCCTTTGGATTTACCCTTTCACATTGTCTGGCTTCTACTACAGATTACATATGACCTCTTTTGTTTGACTCTTCGGCTTCTTCGAGGGTTGGGTCTGACAAACTCAGGGTCCTTTGCCTCTCATGTTGGAATAAGATGGAAAAAACCTACAAAAGCTAGAAGATAGTGGGAAGAGAAGCTCCAAATGTGTGGGTTATTCAGGGATGAGGGAGACGGAAGTGAGGGAAAAGCAGCTTCTGAAGGGACTGTTCAGGCGGAGAAGGAGGAGAGGTCAGTGGTGCCTCTTCCCAAAGTCACTTTAAAATTACTGTCCATTCTGTCTCCCTAGAGCCTCTTCAAAGTGCCACCTTTACTGCTGCCAGTCTCATCTCACACACCCATATGTAGCTTTATATTTGTTTCTCTGTTTGAAAATCAGAAGGGAGGCTGAGGTCTTTGGACACACTCAGCTAAACTGACAAATCCAGCTGACCTGCAAGGACCACAGTGACACTGAGAGAATTCTACCTGCGCTGGTGACCTGTTCATTCTGCTTGACCAGGGAAGCAGAGAAAAGCACCATTTTGGACAAATACTGAAAGGCAGTACCAATCCTGGGACTTCTTGGTGTTTTGTACATAACTTTTGGTATCAGCACACACAGCACTTTACAACTGGCCATGGCCAGGCTCAGCAGAACTAATTCATGAGCCTGGGCTAGAACACAAATCAGCAGGAAGGTTTGCAGGAAAGGCACGATTCCCCACACTGGGTGGACTCCCTTGTTTAAGTGACAGCAGGCAGACATGGGAGGAATGGAAGGAGGGGTTAAATAATAGAGCACGATGCTAAGGAGGTCAAAATGGGAGATTTGCAACCCAAATGCCCTGGAAATCTGCTCCATTCTATGGCTGCAGTCCACATTTCTCAGTCCATAGGCTGCCAACTCACAAATGTCTGCTGTTCTTCACACATGAAAGAGGCAGTGGAAGGATTCGGGGGAAACCTGTGTCAGCTACAGAGAAAAAATTCATGTTCATGTCCTTTAGACAGCAGCTTAACAACATTAACAACATGGCCTTCTTCAAAAGGCAGTGGGAGGCATGAGTGGAGAGCTGTAACAGGTTAGGGTTGGTTCCAGCTACAGTTCCAGAAAACCCCAAGTCACAATAGCTCATCTTCATGGAGCATGTACTGTTAACCAGGCACTGTCCTAGACACCTGGGACCCATCCGTGAACAACAAACAAACAAACAAACAAAATCCTTGCTCTTGTACAGCTCACATTTTGTGGGGTGAGGGTGGGGTGGAAACAATACTCAAATGAAAGGAAGGAAGAAAGGAAGGAAGGGAGGGAGGGAGGGAGGGAGGAAGGACAGAAGGAAGGAAGGGACAGAGGGAGGGAGATGGAGCAGAGGAGGGAGAGGGGGAGAACAATATGTTAGAAAGGGATAACTCTTGGTGACCAGGGAAGTCACTCCCACGGCTATGTGGAAATTAGCCTGAGGCTTAGCTTTCATTATCACTGTCCCCCAGGGTGTGCTTGTCTAAGAGGTATTCCGCCGAGCCAGATTCGGGCGCTCCCATCTTGCACAAGTTGGTCACGTGCTCACCCAATTCTTTGATGGCTTTCACCTGCTTATTCAGGTAATGTGTCTCAATGAAGTCACACAAATGGGGGTCATTTTTGTCAGTGGCCAGTTTGTGCAGTTCCAGTAGTGACTGATTCACACTTTTTTCCAAATGTAATGCACACTCCATCGCATTCAGCCCGCTCTCCCAGTCATCACAGTCTGGTTTCTTGATATCCTGAAGGAAGATTCGGCCACCTCGTTGGTTCTGCAGCTTCATCAGTTTCTCAGCATGTTCCCTCTCCTCATGAGATTGGTGAAGAAAGTATTTGGCAAAGTTCTTCAAGGCAGTGCATGCATGTTGGGGTTTCCTTTACCTTTTCTATAAGTTGTACCAAAACATCCACTTAAGTTCGTTGATTTGTACCATTCCTTCAAATAAAGAAATTTGGTAACCAAAAAAAAAAGAAAGGGATAACTCTTGGGAACTGGGGAATAGAGAGAAGAGTACAGAGGGGAGGGACAGTCACGCTGAGGTGGGTGAGCACTCCCGCAAGTCTGGGTGGAGGCAGTGCCGGTCAGTGGAGCGGGCCAGTGAAGCCCACAGGTGCTTTCAGAGGAGTAAACAATTGTTCACTCAAATAGTGGAAAATGAGTTTTGTGTACTCTATCCCCTACTAGTCAGCTCACTATAATTTTTTATAATTCCTTAAATTCTCCCTTGCCGGCCAGGCACGGTGGCTCACGCATGTAATCCTAGCACTTTGGGAGGCTGAGAAGGGTGAATCACCTAAGGTCAGGAGTTCGAGACCAGCCTGGCCAACATGGTGAAATCCCCTCTCTACTAAAAATACAAAAATCAGCTAGATGTGGTGGTACACACCTGTAATCCCAGCTATTGGGAGGCTGAGGCAGGAGAATCACTTGAACCCTGGAAGCGGAGGTTGCAGTGAGCCAAGATCACGCCACTGCACTCCAGCCTGAGAGACAGAGGAAGACTCCCTCTCAAAAAAAAATTCTCCCTTGCTTTTTGGTTGGGATTATCAAGGCTTTAAAAGTTAGGAATTTAACATTTTAAGAGCTGACTCTGTTGCCAGACCAGACCTTTAAAAAGCCATTGCTTTTCATAGCAAAAACCGCAATGAGTTTTGCACCGACCCAATACTAAAAGAGGGCAAGTGCTCACCATGGCTTGCACTAAATATCAGTTGTCTCATGGTGTAGGAGAGTATTCCTCTAGATTTCTGAAACTGAAATTCAGAAATATATTGTCAAACATAATAGGTTTTAAACTGCAAATATGTAATTATTGTATTTTATATATTTTTATTGTTTTATTGCCATTTTAGAAATTTTAAGCATACAATTCAATGGCATTAATTATATTCATAATGTTGTACAACTATCACCACTATTTCCAAAATATTTCATCTCCTCAAACAGAAACTCTTTATTATAATAATATTAGTTAATAAAACACATTGAGTAACTACAAAGTACTAATCACTATATAGCTATTGTTTCATTTAAATATCATAGAAACCTCATGAGTTAGTTATTTTTATTTTATTCATGAAGAAGTTGAAGATAAGGGAGATTTAACTAATTCCTCTAAATCTAATAAGTAGCAAAATTATAACTAAAACTCAAATATAACACAACCCTATAAGCAAGTCAGATTTTGGGGTCAATGGACTAATACAAAAGTCTGATCACTAACTTACATTGTGTTTCCTCTTAATGGTTTTATTTCATCTTCATATAATAAGATGTCAAAGTGTAAAACTCTGATCTTATAAACTCTGATCAGAATAAAATTACTAAGATTCTTGGCTTTAAAAATGCTTCCATTTACAGATTCTTTTAATAATAGCTCTGGGGATAATTAAGGGTTGCACTAGATTAACTCTTGAAGAGAAAGGAGTCGGTAGACAAAAAAGTTCTGAGTGTCAAATGCTACTGATTAAGGGTTTCACTAAAGGAGAACAAAGAGGTTTTTCAATTAGAATGTAAGTCAATGAGAAGATTAATTTTGATTAACAGAAATACATTTAACCTATATATAATTTTAACAGGAAGATATATATTCACATACAGTCATTTCATGAGTCTCTGAATACTTTAGTTATCTTCTAAAACTCTCAAATTCCCCAGTAAATTCTCAGAGCAGTATCCTATCATTCTCTGGCTCCAAATGCTCAATAGATTTCCATTTTAATTTTTCACAGAATCAACCATCCAGAGAATGGTGCTCCATTTGGTTCCAGTTTTGTTTCTCCTAATTTCCCTTTGTGGTCATTTCTCTTTACAGCATTTGCTCTCTTTCTAGTCTCTCACTCTGAGTTTCAGTTTCCAAGTATTTGTTAAAACTCATTCCCAAATTCCTACTGTCAGAGGCATTGGAACCAGAGCAACTCCATCTTAATAGAGGCTGGGTAAAATAAGGCTGAGGCCTACTGGGCTGCATTCCCAGACACTTAAGGCATTCTAAGTCACAGGATGAGATAAGAAGTCAGCACAAGATACAGGTCATAAAGACCTTGCTGACAGAACAGACTGCAGTAAAGAAGCCAGCCAAAACCCACCAATACCAAGATGGCAATGAGAGTGACCTCTGGTCATCCTCACTGCTACGCTCCTACCAGCACCATGGCAGTTTACAAATGTCATGGCAATGTCAGGAAGTTACCCTATATAGCCTAAAAATGGGAGACATAAATAATGCACCCGTTGTTTAGAATATCATCAAAAAATAACCATAGAAATAGGCAACCAGCAGCTCTCGGAGTAGCTGGTCTGCTCTGTCTATGGAGTAGCCGTTCTTTTATTCCTCCACTTTCCTAGTAAACTTGCTTTCACTTTACAAACTCGTCCTGAATTCTTTCTTACACAAGATCAAGAACACTCTCTTAGGGTCTGAGCTATTATCGGGACCGTTTCCTGGAACAGCACCACGTTCCCTTTTGGTCTGCAAGCCAGAAACTGGAAGTCATCCTTGTGGTTCCTTCTCCCTCACCCTCACAACTACTCTATTACCAGAGCCTGCATGTTTTTTCCTGCCTTATGGGGGTGGCTGCAAAATCTAGCACCCAAACAGGAACGATTCTGAGAGTGAAAAGGACTAATATTAACAGTTATGTCAGCAGGGCACAGTAGATCACGCCTGTAATCCCAATACTTAGGCCGAGACACGTGGATCACTTGAGCCCAGGAGTTCAAAACTAGCCTGGCCAACATGGCAAAACACCATTTCTACAAAAAATACAAAAATTAGCCGGGCATGGTGGTGCACGCCTGTAGTCCCAGCTACTCAGGGGGCTGCGGTGGAAGGATCACTTTAGCCCAGGAGGTGGAGGTTGCAATGTGCCAGATCTTGCCACTGCACTCCAGCCTGGATGACACATGAGACCTAGTCTCAAAAAACAAACTGGCCAGGCGCAGTGGCTCACATGGGTAATCTCAGCACAGTGGGAGGCTGAGGCGGGAGGATCACCTGAGGTCAGCAGTTCAAGACCAGCCTGGCCATCAGGGTGAAACCCTATCGCTACTAAAAATACAAAAATTAGACCATCATGGTGGCACACACCTGTAATCCCAGCTATCAGGAGGCTGAGGCAGGAGAATTGCTTGAACCTGGGAGCTGGAGGTTGCAGTGAGCCGAGATCATGCCACTGCACTCCAGCCTGGGCGACAGAGCAAGACTCCGTCTCAAAAAGAAAGAAAGAAACAAACAAAAACCAGTCTTCAACCACAGGCATACGCTGGGATTCTATGATCTCCAAGTCCACAGATCCTCAGTTTTCTCCATGTCCATAGTTTCTGACCCATCATTCCAATTGTCTTCTAAGGATCTGGTTCTCATGGAGGCACACCTACCCTGACCCCTCTCCCTCCCATGCTGCACAGGCAGCCAGACACGGGGATCTTTTCAAAATGTCAACGTGGGGAAATCCATCTTGCCCACCCCCACCGCACAGTTTCTTAGGACCTCCTGAAACCGTGCAACTCTGGCTGCCATCACTCATATTGGCTCAGAATAAACCTCTTTAAAAATATTTTGGAAAAATTTGGATTTTGCCATCATCAATTACAATTTGTTAAAGAGTGTCCTTGTTATAGAAATTTTTTAAATTATGCTGTCAGCAAATTTGTCTATTTTTTCCTTTATGGATTTTGTGGGGGTTTTTTCTTTAAGTAGACATTCATTAAATCAAGAACTCAAAAACATTTTCCTCTATCATTTTAGTATATTTCCCAAATGGAAAATTTGTTGTTCCAACATCACTGATTGGATAATTTATCCCACATATATCATATGTAAAATCTCAATATCTACCTGATCCTATCTCCTAAGTAAGCTCCATCGATGTATTTGGCTATTCCCACAATAGTACCACCAAATAAACTTCATATTTCTCCTTCTCCCTTTCCAGAATGCAAACAGGATGCTAGGGGTGAAATGCCTGTCCTGTGACCAGAAGACAATAGGGTGGAAGACAGGTGGACCGGTTGCCTCTGTGGCTATCAGATAATGCCTCCTTCAAACCATGATTAGTTCAGTGGCTGCCTATGGGGTTTTCAGTGACTCAGAACCGAGTTAAAATCTTAACTGGTACAAGATCTGTCAGGTGTAGTTGACTCCAGCCCAGATCCCAAGGGTGGCAATTTCTTCTGGGCATTCAACTCAACAAGGATTGATTCACTTACTGAAATTAGTGGTTGAGAAACAGTTAACATCCTCTCCTAATGAGCTTAACCAGAAGATATACAGTATGGGGCTCATGGGGCTGCCTTTTGCCTTTGAGAAAAGTCAAAGCACCATGGGGCTACTTCACTCCACTCACCCCCACATCTCCATTGCTCTGACTCAACCTCTCTGTGTCTTATCTGAGATTTCAGTGTCAGATTTGAGTGACATCCAACTCCCTTCCCATACTCCCTTTAGAATTACAAGTAAATTTACTGATATTTATATAAGTGGCAATGACGATGGATGGTGGTGGGTCCGGTTTTCTGTTTCTATGTTGTGAGGTTTTTATTTGTGTTTCTATTGATCTGCCTTTTCCTCTTTACTCAACATTATGATTTGTTTCTGCCCCACCCTAACTGATCAACGTACTTTGTAATCTCCACCACCCTTAAGAAGTTTCTTTGCAATCTCCCCCACCCTTGAGAAGATTCTTTGTAATTCTCCCCACCCTTGAGATGTACTTTGTGAGATCCACCCCCTGCCTGGAAAACATTGCTCCTAACTCCACCGCCTATCCCAAAACCTGCAAGAACTAATGATAATCCCACCACCCTTTGCTGACTCTCTTTTTGGACTCAGCCCACCTACACCCAGGTGAAATAAACAGCCTTGTTGCTCACACAAAGCCTGTTTGGTGGTCTCTTCACACAGAAGCATGAGACATTTGGTGCTGAAGACCCGGGTCAGAGGGACTCCTTCGGGAGACCAGTCCCCTGTCCTCACCCTCACTCCGTGAAGAGATCCACCTATGACGTCAGGTCCTCAGACCAACCAGCCCAAGGAATATCTCACCAATTTCAAATCGGGTAAACAGTCTTTTCACTCTCTTCTCCAGCCTCTCTCCCTACCCTTCAATCTCCCTGTCCTTCCAAGTCCAGTTATTTTTCCTCTCTAATAGAGACAAACGAGACACATTTTATCCATGGACCCAAAACTCTGGCGCCAGTCACCAACTTAGGAAGACAGCCTACCCTTGGTGTTTAATCATTGCAGGGTGTGCCTGCTTGATTATTCACCCACACCCCATTGGTGTCTGATCACCACGGGGATGCCTGCCTTGGTCATTCACCCACATTCCCTTGGTGGCAAGTCAATTGTGGGGACACCTGCTTTGGCTGCTCACCCACATTGCAGCCCAGGACTGCTCCCCACCCCGCTTCTCCGTGTCTCTACCCTTCTCTTTAAACTTGCCTCCTTTACTATGGGCAACCTTCCACCCTCCATTTCTCCTTCTTCTCCCTTAGCCTGTGTTCTCAAGAGCTTAAAACCTCTTCACCTCTTGCCTGACCTAAAATCTAAGCATCTTATTTTCTTCTCCAACACCGCTTGGCCCCAATACAAACTCGACAATGGTTCTAAATGGCCAGAAAATGACACTTTCGATTTCTCCATCCCACGAGACCTAGATACTTTTTGTCGAAAAAAGGGCAAATGGTCTGAGGTGCCTTACGTCCAGGCATTTTTCACACTTTGTTCCCTCCTTAGTCTCTGTTCCCAATGCGACTCATCCCAAATCCTCCTTCTTTCCCTCCCGCCTGTCCCTTCAGTCTCAACCCCAGTCGTCACTGAGTCTTGTGAATCTTCCTTTTCTGCTGACCCATCTGACCCCTCACCTCCTCCCCAGACTGCTCCTCCTCAGCTCGCTCCCCGCCAGGCTGAATCAGGCTCCAACTCTTCTTCAGCCTCTGCTCCCTCACCCTATAACCCTTCTATTAACTCCCCTTCCCACACCCGGTCTGGTTTACAGTTTCATTCTGCGACTAGCTCTCCCCCTCCTGCCCAACAATTTCCTCTTAGAGAGGTGGCTGGAGCTGAAGGCATAGTCAGAGTACATGTGCCTTTTTCTCTACCAAACGTTTCCCAAATCAGCCAGCGTTTAGGCTCTTTCTCATCAGACACCAATAAATATATACAGGAATTCCAATATCTAACTCTGTCCTACAGTTTAACCTGGAGAGACTTAAATGTCAGCCTAACTTCTACCCTCTCCCCAGATGAATGGGAAAGAGTCTTCTCTCTAGCCCAATCTCACGCTGATAATCACCGGCTTCATGAGCCAGACCTCCAGGAAGGCATTAGAGCAGTTCCCTGAGAAGATCCCCTATGGAACTATCAGGCAGATTCCCCAGGTATAGCTAGGCGAAATTACATGGTTTCTTGCCTAGTTGAAGGGCTTAAAAAGGCAGCTCACAAAGCTGTTAATTATGACAAACTTAAAGAAACTACCCAAGGTAAAGATGAAAACCCAGCCCAGTTCATGGCCTGCTTAGTTAGCAGAAATCCTTAGATGCTTTACCGCCCTAGACCCAGAGGGACCAGAAGGTCACCTTATTCTTAATATGCATTTTATCACCCAGTCAGCTCCTGACATTAGAAAAAAGCTTCAAAAATTGGAATCCGGCCTTCAAACCCCACAACAGGAATTAATCAACCTCGCCTTCAAGGTGTACAATAATAGAGAGGAGGTGGCCAGACAGCAACGCATTTCTGAGTTACAGCTACTTGCCTCCGCTGTAAGACAACCCACAACCACATCTCCAGCATACAAAAAAACTTCAGAACATCCAAGCCACAGCTCCCAGAGGCTCCTTAAAAACATCCTCGTGGACCTTGTTTCAAATGCCAAAAGCCTGGCCACTGGGCCTCAGAATGCCCACGGCCCGGGATTCCTCCTGAGCCGTGCCCTGTCTGTGCAGGCCCCCACTGGAGGTCAGACTGTCCGACTCACATTGCTGCTGCTCCTGAAGCCCCTGGAGCCCAAACCCAATGTTCCCTGGCCAACTCCTTCCAGATCTGATGCTGCCGGATCACCTCGGAAGCCTCCTGGACCATCACAGATGCTTTGGGTAACTCTCACAGTGGAGGGTAAGTACATCCCCTTATTAATCAATACGGAGGCAACCCACTCCACATTACCTTCTTTTCAAGGGTGTGTTTCCCTTGCCTCCATAACTGTTGTGGATTATGACAGCCAGGCTTCTTAACCTCTTAAAACTCCCCAACTCTGGTGCCAACTTGGACAATTTTCTTTTATGCACTCCTTTTTAGTTATCCTCACCTGCCCAGCTCCCTTATTGGCTCGAGACATTTTAACTAAATTACATGCTTCCCTGACTATTCCTAGGCTACAGCCATACCTCATTACCGCCCTTTTCCCCCAGTTCAAAGCCTCCTTCACATCCTCTCCTTGTATCTCCCCACCTTAATCCACCTCTACTCCCTCCTTGAGGATGGATGATGCACCCCTTACCATCCCATTAAAACCTAATCACCCTTACCCCGATCAATGCCAGTATCCCATCCCACCGCATGCTTTAAAAGGATTAAAGCCTGTTATCACTTATCTGTTGTAGCATGGCCTTTTAAAGCCTATAAACTCTCCTTACAATTCCCCCATTTTACCTGTCCAAAAACTGGACAAGCCTTACATTTTAGTTCAGGATCTGCGCCTTATCAACAAAATTGTCTTGCCTATCCACCCCATGGTGCCAAACCCATATATTCTCCTATCCTCAATACCTCCCTCCACAACCCATTATTCTGTTCTAGATAAACCTAGCTGACCCCATAAATCCTAAATCCTTTCCACACTCCCCTGTCCATTCCTTAAAAAACAGCCCTAAAATCTGCTCCCACACTAGTTCTCCCTAACTCATCCCAACCTTTTTCATTACACACAGCCGAAGTGCAGGGCTATGTGGTTGGAATTCTTACACAAGAGCCAGGACCACGCCCTGTAGCCTTTCTGTCCAAATAACTTGACCTTACTGTTTTAGCCTAGCCCTCATGTCTGCGTGGGGTGGCTGCCACTGCCTTAATACTTTTAGAGACCCTCAAAATCACAAACTATGCTCAACTCACTCTCTACAGTTCTCATAACTTCCAAAATCTATTTTCTTCCTCACACCTGATGCATATACTTTCTGCCCTCCTCCACTACCTCTCAGCAAGCCAAACTCATTGCCTTAACTCGAGCCCTCACTCTTGCAAAAGGACTACGTATCAATATTTATACTGACTCTAAATATGCCTTCCATATCCTACACCACCATGCTGTTTTATGGGCTGAAAGAGGTTTCCTCACTACTCGAGGGTCCTCCATCATTAATGCCTCTTTAATAAAAACTCTTCTTAAGGCCGCTTTACTTCCAAAGGAAGCTGGAGTCATTCACTGCAAGGGCCATTAAAAGGCATCACATCCCATCGCTCAGGGCAACGTTTATACTGATAAGGTAGCTAAAGAAGCAGCTAGCCTTCCAACTTCTGTCCCTCACGGCCAGTTTTTCTCCTTCTCATTGGTCACTCCCACCTACTCACCGACTGAAACTTCTACCTATCAACCTCTTCCCACACAAGGCAAATGGTTCTTGGACCAAGGAAAATATCTCCTTCCAGCCTCACAGGCCCATTCTAATCTATCATCATTTCATAACTTCTTCCATGTAGGTTACAAGCTGCTAGCCCGCCTCTTAGAACCTCTCATTTCCTTTCCATCATGGAAATCTATCCTTAAGGAAATCACTTCTCAGTGTTCCATCTGCTATTCTACTACTCCTCAGGGATTGTTCAGGCCCCCTCTCTTCCCTACACATCAAGCTCGGGGATTTGCCCCTGCCCAGGACTGGGAAATTGACTTTACTCACATGCCCCGAGTCAGAAAACTAAAATACCTCTTGGTCTGGGTAGACACTTTCACTAGATGGGTAGAGGCCTTTCCCACAGGGTCTGAGAAGGCCACCACAGTCATTTCTTCCCTTTTGTCAGACGTAATTCCTCAGTTTGGCCTTCCCACCTATATACAGTCCAATAACGGGCCTGCCTTTATTAGTCAAATCACCCAAGCAGTTTCTCAGGCTCTTGGTATTTAGTGGCTCCTGGTTTTACCTCAAATCGCCACCCTTAAGCCTCTCTTGAATTGGATAGAAGATCTTCAGTGGCAAGGTACCCTCCAATACTTTCACCCTGATGAAGTCCTATTCTTTATTTTTATACTCACTCTTATTCTGGTTCCCGTTCTTATGCCACCTTCTACCTCTCCGCAGCTATCTCCACCACACTATCAAATTCACTCTCTCCTAGCCGTTTCTAATCCTTCTTTAACAAACAATTGCTGGCTTTGCATTTCACTTTCCTCCAAAATCGCTGAGGCCCTGACTTACTCACTGCTAAAAAAAAGGGGGGGACTGTATATTTGTAAATGAAGAGTGTTGTTTTTACCTAAATCAATCTGGCCTGGTATATGACAACATAAAAAAAACTCAAGGATAGAGCCCAAAAACTTGCCAACCAAGAAAATAATTATGCTGAACCCCCTTTGACACTCTGTAATTGGACGTCCTGGGTGCTCCCAATTCTTAGTCCTTTAATACCTGTTTTTCTCTTTCTCTTATTTGGACCTTGTGTCTTTCGTTTAGTTTCTCAATTCATACAAAACCACATCCAGGCCATCACCAATAATTCTATACTACAAATGCTCCTTCTAACAACCCCACAATATCACCCCTTACCCCAAAACCTTTCTTCAGTTGGGTCTCTCCCACTGTAGGTTCCCACGCCACCCCAATCCCGCTTGAAGCAGCCCTGAGAAATCACCCATTATCTCTCCATACCACCCCAAAAAATTTTCACCGCCCCAACACTTTACCACTATTTCATTTTATTTTTCTTATTAATATAAGAAGACAGGAATGTCAGGCCTCTGAGCCCAGGCTAAGCCATCATAACCCCTGTGGCCTGCATGCATACATCCAGATGGCCTGAAGCAACTGAAGATCCACAAAAGAAGTGAAAATAGCCTTAACTGATAACATTCCACCATTATGATTTGTTTCTGCCCCACCCTAACTGATCAATGTACTTTGTAATCTCCCCCACCCTTGAGAAGGTTCTTTGTAATTCTCCCCACCCTTGAGAATGTACTTTGTGAGATCCACCCCCTGCCTGCAAAACATTGCTCCTAACTCCACCGCCTATCCCAAAACCTGCAAGAACTAATGATAATCCCACCACCCTTCACTGACTCTCTTTTCAGACTCAGCCTGCCTGCACCCAGGTGAAATAAACAGCCTTGTTGCTCACACAAAGCCTGTTTGGTGGTCTCCTCACATGGACGTGTGTGACAATATATAGAGAGAGATAGAGTCCAAAAGAATCTACATATTGAGAAACTAAAAAACAGTTTTTTTTCGAGATGGAGACTCACCATATTGACCAGGCTGGTCTCAAACTCTTGGCCTCAAGCAGTCCTCCCATCTCAGCCTCCCAAAATCCAAAGTGCTAGGATTACAGGTATGAGCCACCATGTCTGGGCAAAAACAAACAAACAAACAAAAAACATTTTTTTAATCTGAGGAATGTGAACCCCTTTAAATTATCAGGCCCAGAGAGGCATTTAAAATATAAGAGTAAGGTTCAGGCACTGAGGCTCACACCTGTAATCTCAGTGCTTTGGAAGGTCAAGGTGAAAGGATTGCTTGAGGTCAAGAGTTCAAGGCCAGCCTGGTGCAACACAGGGAGACTCTGTCACTTTAAAAAAAAAAGGGGGGGGCGGTTACAGCAGTCATAGCTCACTCCCCTTGGAACTAAATAATTACCTCTTGAAGCCACTTGTTATGTGGGCTCTAGACTAACTGAAACCAAGTAGCCATAACATGCCATATATGCTATTTCTGTAAACCAGTGAAAATTCCTGATGAATAACTTTTGTAATGGCCTCTTCTCCTAATTTTTCCTTTTTTTTTTCTGAAAACTTGAGTTTCTCCTCTGTTCTCTGGATCACTCTCCAAAGAAACCTGAAAGTGTATCCTGGGCTGCAGCCCTAAACCCTAGTCCAAATAAAATCTCTGTATTAATTTTGCCTCTGCTTCTTCTTTTTAGGTCAATCATATAAACTCCTGTAAGATCTCTGAATATAAAATCATTATACCAATATGAAATCCAATAGTTTTGTTAAGTTTTCATATATGAAATCCATTATAGCAGCAGTGAGCATTACAGATTAAATTACAGAAAAATCTGTTATAATAGCCTTTTAAAAACATCAAATTCTCAAGAATAGATGTAATAAAAGTGTGGAATACCTCTACACAAAAGTGTATTAAACATTACTGAAGCAAATTAAAGAAAACATAAATAAATGCAACAGATGGAGCGGTATGTACTTTGCCTGAGGATTGAAAAAGAGTCACTATGGGAAAGACAAATTTATCTATAGATTCAATGCAATCTCAAACAAAATCCCAATAGCTTTTGTGTCTGTGTGTGGAAATTTAAAAGTCAATCTAAAATTTGTGGAAATAAACAAAAGTAGCTACAAAAATGTAGAAGAAGGAGGAGATAGTTCAAGGACTAACACTACTAAAATTTATCTAGTATAAATACAAGGATATAAAATAAACTGATGGGAAAAAATAGAGATTCCATAAACAGACCCATGCTCCTATGCACACTTGATCTGTGATAGGAGACACTGCAGAACCCTGAGGAAGAATGATCTTTTCAAGAAACAGTGCTGCTTCAATTTCATATCAATAAGGAGGAAAATGAAACTTGAACCCTACTTAAATCACATGCAAGCATATCAATCCTTGTGAACTGCAGATCTAAGTTTGAAAAGTAAAACAATAAAGGTTCTTAGAATATAATATAGGAGGCCAGGCACGGTGGCTCACGCCTGTAATCCCAGCACTTTGGGAGGCCAAGACGGGCGGATCACGAGGTCAGGAGATTGAGACCATCCTGGCTAACACGGTGAAATCCCGTCTTTACTAAAATACAAAAAATTAGCCGGGCATGGTGGCAGGCGCCTGTAGTCCCAGCTACTTGGGAGGCTGAGACAGGAGAACGGCGTGAACCCGAGAGGCGGAGCTTGCAGTGAGCCGAGGTCGCGCCACTGCACTCCAGCCTGGGCGACAGAGCGAGACTCTGTCTTAAAAATAAAAAAAAATTTAAAAAAAAGAATATAATATACAAGTATACAGTCATGACCTTGTGGTAGGAAATCATTTATTAGCGGGTACAAAAGGTACTAAACAGCTGGGGTGCGGTGGCTCATGCCTGTAATCCCAGCACTTTGGGGGGCCGAGGGAAGCAGATCACTGGAGGTCAGGAGTTTGAGACCAGCCTGGACAACATGGTGAAACTCCGTTTCTACTAAAAAGCAAAAATTAGCTGGGTGTGGTGGCAGGCACCTGTAATCCCAGCTACTCAGGAGGCTGAGGCTGGAGAATCGCTTGAACCTGGGAGGCAGAGGTTGCAGTGAGCCGAAATTGCACCACTGCGCTCCAGCCTGGGTGACAATAGTGAAACTCCCTCTCAAAAAAAAAAAAAAAAAGGTACTAAACACTAAGGAAAAGATGTGTATATTAGACTAAATTAAAATCAGGAACCTCAAACGATTGCATTAAGAGAACTAAATGACAAGAGAATGTGTTTGCAGTATATATTTGACAAAGGAAGACTTAATAAGAAAAGACAAATAGAAAAATGGCCAAGATATATAACTTCACAAAAGAGGATATTCAAATGGCCAATGCATGCATGAAAAGGAACTCAATATCAATTGTTATCAAATTAATGCAAGTTAAAACCACAACACTTCCACTATAGTTCCACCAGAGTAACTAAAATGCAAAAGCCAGTGTTGGCAAGAATGCGGAAAAACTAAAACTGTCATGATGGGAAGCGTAAATTGGTACAATCACTTTTGACAAATTCTTTGGAAGGATCTACTAAAGTAGAGCATGCACATTTCCTATGACCCAGCAACTGTAGCACTAGATACGCTCAATAGAAATGTATTCACATGTGCTCCAAAAGACATATGCTATTTAGAATAACCTAAAGCTGTAAACACCCTGTATTAGTCTGTTCTTGCACTGCTATAAAGAACTACCTGAGACTAGGTAATTTATAAAGAAAATAAGTCTATTTGGCTCACAATTGTGCATGCTATACAGGAAGCATGACTGAGAAGGCCTCAGGAAACTTACATTATGGCGGAAGGTGAAAAGGAAGGAGGCATGTCTTACATGCCCAGAGCAGGAGGAAGAGAGTGAAGGGGAAGGTGCTACACACTTTTAAACAACCAGCTCTCTTGAAAACTCTCTCATGATCACAAGAACAGCAGGGAGGAAATCCGTCCCCATGAGCCAATCACTTCCCACCAGGTCCCTCCTCCGATACTGGGGATTACAATTTAACATGAGATTTGAGCAGGGACACCAATTCAAACCATATCACACCCCTAATGTCCCTCATAGTGGATGGATAAATTAATTGGGGTATATTCAAGCAGCTATGAAAATAAACCAACTTACAACTGCAAAAACATGAATGAATCTCACCAAAATAATGTTGAGCTAAAGAAAACTATCACAAAGAATGCATGCTGTGATTCCATTTTACAAAGATCAAGAACAAGCAAAACTAATGTGTGGTTTAAGGAGTTAGATTAGTGGTGTCCCGTGAAGAAAAGATTAGGAAAAGTGATCAGATGGGGCTTCTGGGATACTAAGAATGTTCTATTTCTTGATCTGAGTGATGAGTACAAGTGTGTATGTTTGCCAGTTTGCCAGGTTCTATGCTTAAAACATTTGCATTTGGGGCACGTATATTTCAATATGAATTTTTTTAATCAAGTAAAAATAAAATTGGAAGTTGAGACTACCCTAGCCATTTAGGGTTACTTGTGCCACTAGACAAGAAGTAAAGAATAAGCTGTGGCAGTTCATCCCAATTACAGGTGGAAATCGGGCTGCTGCTACCTGCAGGGAGTAAGAAGTAATCTGCCTGAAACCCAGCCAATTCATTGACTTTGTCTCAGTACTCTCTTGCTGGGTAATACTAGGCAGTGGGAAACCGTAGTAACACAGTAAGACAAAACCACTGAAAAAGGCTTGGATGCTATGGCAACGCAAGTTTGGATCATACCCCCGGAGAAAAACTCAAACTTCCTGAGGTGATGGCAAAGGTGATTTATGAAAATAGTGTATCCAGGTAGTTTAAACTAATTTCTCCACTCCCCACTACTGCAGTATTAAACTTGGGCATGTGCATCATCATCTTTGAGGGAATACATCTCATTCTCACATTTTTATCAGTAGTTTTTGACTTAACTGGAAAGATCAAGCTGACCCACCTAAATTCCGACTTCAAATTTAAGTTACAAAGGTTTAACTTTGTGCTATTAAAATTTTCTTTTAAAATATGAAAATGCGGCTGGGCACAGTGGCTCGTGCCTGTAATCCCAGCACTTTGGGAGGCCGAAGCAGGTGGACCATCTGAGGTCAGAAGTTCGAGACCAGCCTGGCAAACATGTTGAAACAACAATTCTACTAAAAATACAAAAAATCAGCTGTGTCTGGTGGCGGGCACCTGTAATCCCAGCTACTCCAGAGGTGGGAGAATTGCTTGAACCCGGGAGGCAGAGGTTGCAGTGAGCTGAGGTTGCACCATTGCACTCCAGCCTGGGCAACAAGAGCAAAACTCCATCTCAAAAACATGTATGTGTGTATATATATGAAAATGCAATTATATCAAAATGAAGGCCCTAGATTTTTTGCTCTGTTTTCTAGAAGAATGTTTGGCATATATGTAAGCACAATCATTTCCATTCACTTAAGTTTCAGGAACTCTTTTGATTTGTGTGCATGTGCACCAGTGTGCACACTTACATAAACATGGCTGACTCCTACATGATAGTTTTCTCTTTGGTGTATACATTTATTCAAAAGAATGTACAAGAACAGAACTCAGTTATATAACTAGATAAATGTATAATCACAAGATCTATATTATTTTGAAAAATGGCAATAAATTCATATAAAGTCACTAAGACTATACCTGGTACAAATATGGATTTGATGACCACTTAGTGTCCACTGGTTAGAAATCACGGTGTTAAAGTTGAAAATATTTCCATCAATCCTTTTCACTTAGTTCTCTTTTTTTTTTTTTTTTTTTTTTTTGAGATGGAGTCTTGCTCTGTCACCCAGGCTGGAGTGCAGTGGCCCTCAGCTCACTGCAACCTCCGCCTCCTAGGTTCAAGTGATTCTCCTGCCTCAGCCTCATGAGTAGCTGGGATTTCAGGCACCCACCACCATGCTGGGCTAATTTTTGTACTTTTAGTAGAGACGGGGTTTCACCACATTGGCCAGGCTGATCTCAAACTCCTGACCTAACGTAATCCACTTGCCTCGGCCTCCCAAAGTGCTTGGATTACAGGCATGACCCACCACCCCCGGCCGATTGTCATATTTTTAAATTCACATTTTCCATATTTAAAAATAATAAAAATTACCACCTTATTTCTTAAGAAATAGACCATAAGACATCTGTATTAGTCTGTTTTCACATTGCTATAAAGAATTACTTGAGGCTAGGCATGGTGGCTCACACCTGTAATCCTAGAACTTTGGGAGGTCAAGGCGAGTGGATCACCTGAGGTCAGGAGTTTGAGACCAGCCTTGCCAACATGGCGAAAACCTGTCTCTACTAAAAATACAAAAATTAGCTGGGCATGATGATGCCTGCCTGTAATCCCAGCTACTCAGGAGGCTGAGGAAGGAGAATCACTTGAACCCGGGAGGTGGAGGTTGCAGTGAGCCAAGATCACGCCACTGCACTCCAGCCTGCACAACAGGAGTGAGACTACATCTGAAAAAACAACAACAACAACTTAAGACTGGGTAATTTATGAAGAAAAGAGGTTTAATCAACTCACAGTTCTGTAGGCTGTACAGGAGACATGGCTAGGGAGGCCTCAGGAAACTTACAATCATGGCAGAAGGTGAAGAGGAAGCAAGCATTTCTTCCCACAGTGGAGCAACAGACAGAGAGTAAAGGGGGCAGTACCACACACTTTTTAAACCACCAGAGCTTGTGAGAACTCACTCACTATCATGAGAACGGCAAGGGAGAAGTCCGCCCCCATGATCCAGTCACCTCCCACCAGGCCTCTGCTCCAACACTGAGAATCACAACTCGACATGAGATTTGAGTGGGGACACAGAGCCAAACAATATCAACATCTATGCTGGGAATGAGGAAGTAGGAAGATCTCATCCAAGTAAGTCATCATAGAATGTTCCAGAAGAATGTAGAACTGGTCTGTTAAGTGGCTACTCTTCTTATGCTTTTTAGGTTGGCTTTTCCTAACACTTGACCCATCCTAAAGGAGAGACCTTGAGAGGTAAGAGATGGTGTTCACTCTTCAGTTTTATTTTCCATTGGGACATTCTCATCATTTGTTGGAAGGACTGATTTACATTTTGCTGAATTCCTCCAGTTGATGTTTCTGTTCTCCTTAATTATTAGTGCTCTGGGCAACTGCCCAGCTAGCGAAGAGGCCCCTAATCTAGCTCTGCTGAGGAAAGGGGGTGGCCTTAATGATTATCTGGGCTGGGCCACATTTTTGACAAGGATCTGTTCTCAGGTTTTAACTGACATTTAAGTTAAAATAAATGGATCTGTTCTCACTTCTTCAGAGAGGTCTTTCCTGACCCCCAACCCCATCTAAATCAGCCCCACAAGATTCTAATTCATCCTCTTTACTGCTCTTACCAGTACTGCCATTAACTTACCTACTTACTATTCTGCATGAGATTCTTAGTAGCAGCAACTTTATTTATCCCATTGCCAAGAGCAAGGCCAGGCCCACCATAAGGGCTTGATGTTTAACCCACTTGACTGGCTACTGTGTATGAGCCTGGAGGTTTTCAAAAGCAACTAGTTATCTGAACTTCATGTTTATATTCTTGTGGTCGTTCTTTAATCACTATCTCAGCACCCTTATGATTTTCAGTTTGAAGTGCACCAAAGAACAAACTGCATCCTTTAAGCATCACTATGACTTTGAGAGAATTCTGGGCAGAAATGCACTTCACAATGAAGTAGCTAAAATGATATTAATTTTTAGGAAATTATACTCTTCTCCATACTAAACGGTCATGCCATTATTATCAGGTTCAGAAAAAGTACCCGTAAGGTAGACATGACACACCATAGGTCTAAGAATTAGGAGACTACATCTAAGTTAAAATTTTACTCAAGCAAGTTAAGGCCTTTTAGTTCTATTCCAATAACATTTCATAAGTTCTTAACCAGCGACATGGCTTAATAAAAGCTCATGGATTACCTCAGTCCTTCAGTTATAGCCTGCAGAAAAAACATTCTTAGGTTTAGCTGTGCTGGCTCTCAGAAGAAAAAATTAGGAGGTGAGAGCTTTTATTTTCCAAGTTAAACATTCCATCCAAAAAAGCACAGAGGCTGTAATGCAAGAAACATGAACCACCAAGACTGTGTTGCTGGCCCAGGCTCAGCATCACCCAGGCAATGCCTGAGGCCTGGAGGAAGCTGAGAAGTGATGACTAGTGGAGGGAGGAAGCAGCTTGTCCAACTCCTGTGATGAAACCACCAGTAAGAACCACACTGCAAATGTTTCAGCAGCCCTAGGACCCTGCTAGCAGGAACAGCCAGGGGTTGGGGGACTGGGTTCTTGTGGTGTTCCTTGTAGAAGTTCAAGTCCAGTGTACTACCTAACTCCTGTTTTTACAAGCCTAGAGAAAACACCTGTTGCCTGCCCAATCCCTGTTGTCAAGTTTCACACAAACATGGCATTGCCCTGCTTAGTGCCCTCCAGGGACACCCACTTCCTACATCGGGGGAATCTCAGACACCATCAAGGCCCATCCTGCCCCTTTTCATTCAGGCCACCATCTGTCCCTGACTTGCCTGATTCTGCAGCTGGCCTGGGTTCCTGGGATTCCCCAACCTTGTCATGTCTGCGATAGGACAGAAAGTCAGAAGAGGAGAAAAGTGACACTATGCCAGAACAGGCAGCTAGTCTGCTGGCTCAAGCCTTCCAGGTAGGCCTGAAAGGACAGCAGGGAGGTCAAAGTTAGATCAGAAATGAGCAACCTAGAGGCCTGCAGGTGGTAGCAGGGCTGGGCGAGCAGCCAGACACAGCTGTCGAGATGGTGTATTTTATCGATTCTAAGACAAAGCTCTTTTTATAATTTAGTGCCTGTGAAATCAGGATGTGTCTCACAACTAATGACATCTTAGCACTGTGTTATTGCTACTATGATCTGTTTCTGCCCACAGAACACTTCTGATGCCAAATGTGTGTGGTGGTTTGCCCTCACCGACCATTTCTCCGACACCAGCTAAGTGTTCTACAATTGAACTCTGGCACTATCTACCAAGAGTTAGCTTGAAACTCACAGGTTAAAGGCTTGGTCCCACAAGACAGCCCCCACTTCACATGCCAATCGCAATTTGGGGCCATCCATCCTTCTCATCAACTGGCTATAAATTGGGGATTTCCACAACCCTCTTTTTAGGTTGGATATTTGCTAGAAGAGCACACAGAACTCAGCATTTTACTTACATTTACCAGTCCATTACAAAGGATACACATGAACAGCCATGTGCAAAGGTATATACAGCAAGGTCCAGAAGATGCTCAAGCACAGATGCTTCTGTCCCAGTGGAGCTGGGGTGTGGCATCCTCCCAGCAAGTGGATGCGTCCACTAACCTGGAAGCTGTTCAACCCCATTGCTTTGGGGTCTTATGGAGCTTCCATTACATAGGTATGATTGATTAAATCATCGGCCATTGGTGAGTAACCCTCTAATCACTCTGGCAACCAGGTCCCATCCTAAAGCTATCTTGGCAACCACCAGGAGTTATCTCATCAGCATAAACTCATGTACAGTTGAAGAGGCTTACTATAAATAACAAAAGACTATCACTCAGGAAATTCCACCAGTTTTAGAAGCTCTGTGCCAGGAACCTGGACCAAAGACCAAACCTTTATTTTTTATTATATGACAATATCACAATTATGGTTTTTATTGTATCATTTTTAAATAATACAATAAAAAAATCTTGGTGAGTCAAGTATGACTCTAGTTCTACTCCAGTAACTTTTCATAAGTTCTTAACCAGAGATATGGCTGTATTTATCACTTTATTGCTTTATTTAAAAATAGTATTGATCAAAGGTAACATCAAATGTAGTCATTGAAAACATGGGTCGATTTCCCAGAATCAAGTCCAACATGGAGGGATAAATGGAGATACAGGCCAGAGAGAGGCCTGGAGTCAGAAACTAGAAGAACAAGGTGAGAGAGGGGCTCCCACAGGCCAAGCAACTGTGAAGTTCCCAGCATCCTACATCCCCGACTGCTTCTGGCGTGGATGCAAGTGTGTTTAAGATTCAATGCCTCTGCACCTTTTCCCCTCCAGCATCTGCCTCCTCGTGTCTAAGTTTGCCTTTCAAAACTCTGTCAACATGTTAGTTCCTTGAGCTCTTCCTGGATGCCACCAGGCAGTTACTGATCCCTCCCTCTGGGCTTCCACTGTTCTTTAAACATCTGTAACATGTTTTGTGATTATTGATTTATTTTTATGTCTTCTGTTATTTAACCACTTGCTCCAAGGATGGGGTCAGTCTCTGAATCCCAGCACTGGAGCAGTGTCCAGAAAAGAAGAAGCACTTCCTTGTTGGTTAAATGAACCTATTTAGGTGTTAAAACATATCTCTCAGGTGAACTGATAGCAAGCTCATGACAGAAGTTTATTTCACCCTGACTACAAGGAAAGCTATTTCCAACAGAGCCAGCTCAGATTTCCTTCTGTTAGAGAGCTTTCGATAGTCAAAAAATAATAATAATAACAGACAAGTGAGGCTAAATTGCCTTGCTAGATGAGGCACAAGAAAGGTAATGTTTTGCGCTAAAAGTCACTATGCAAATCTCAGACCCTGGGTCAGCCACCTGAGTTACATTCCACAAAACTAGGTGGGGAAATCTCTGGGAGGGCTTTTCTAGTCTCGTTACATTCCATGAGGGAATTGCTGTAACATTTTACAGGAAATGCTGGATATTTATCCAAAAGCACAATAAATTTTGCTCCAGCCTACTTTTTCTCTGGTTTTAGTCCTACTTAGTACCCAAGTAGCCTGAGTCTTGTGGAATGGGGACTTTCAAGTCTTCAGTCACAGGGGTGCACATTCCCTGCTGGCTTCCAAACAGGGGCTGCCACACCACCCTGAGCAAGAATACTCTTACACTGGAGGCTAGGAAGGATAGGAAGGGAGGGATAGGGAGAGATTTGTTAAAGGATACAAAAAAACAGATAGGTAAGGGGAATTAGTTCTAGTGTTCTATATCACTGTAGGATGACTATAGTTAACAATAATATATTATATAGTTTCAAACAGTGAGAAAGAGGATATTGAATGTTCCCAACACAAAGAAATGATAAACCTTTGAAATGATGAATACACTGATTACCATGATCTGATCACCAGATATTATTTGTATCAAAACATCACTAGGTACCTCATGACTATGTACAACAACTATTTGTCAATTAGGAAAAAATAAAATAAATTTTTAACAAAGAATGCTCTTAGACCAGGCACGGTGGCTCACACCTGTAATCCTAGCACTTGGAAAGGCTAAGGTGGATGGATCACTTGAAGTCAGGAGTTCGATACCAGACTGGCCAACATGGTGAAACCCTGTTTCTACTAAAAATACAAAAAAATTAGCCAGGCATGGTGGTGCACGCCTGCAATCCTAGCTACTTGGGAGGCTCAGGTGGGGGGATCACTTGAACCCGGGAGGCAGAGGTTGCAGTGAGCCGAGATCACACCACTGCACTCCAGCCTTGGTGAGAGCAAGGTTCTGTCAAAAAAAAAAGAACACTTCTAGATGCTGGGGTGAAGAAGGCTTTTGTCCATCTTGTGTTAATTATGACCTTTTTATTCTGTATTTTTGATGCTTTGACATCTTGGGGCCTTGCTGACCCTGGAGGGACTGCTTTCTCCCAGGGTAGAAGGTATTACTATTTGAACCACTAGACTGAGTCAAAATGATCTGTCCTCACCAATGTGGATAGGCATTATTCTTCCAATTCCTTGAAGGTCTCAACAGAACAAAAAGACAGGGGAAGGACAAATTTGCTCTTTATTCTGGAGCTAGGACATCCAACTTCTGCTCTCTGACATCAGAACTGCAGGTTCTCAATCCTGGGACTCTGGGACTCATATTAGTGTTCCCCATCCCACTCTACTCAAAGATATATTACTGTCCCCACTCCACTCAAAGATATATTACTGTTCCCCACTCCACTCTACCAAAGATACCTGATTTGAGTCACTCAGAAGACTAGGTAGGGGTTTATTGAGGGAGCTGGCAACCCATCCCCGACATGTGTGACCCAGCCAGAACCAGAGCAGTAGGAGCCTCACTGCCTTCACCCTAGTGCTGCCACGTAGAGCAGCTAGAGCCTCTCCTGTGGACTCAAGCCTGACAGTGGGAGTTCCCTTGGGAAGGTAGGATCACCTTCACCTCTTTATCTTGGTTTCTTTATCGGTACAATGGAAATGGTAATAATAGTACCTAAATCTTGGGGTTATCATAAAGATTAAAGTAATTAAAGCATGTGAAGTGCTTAGACCATGCCTAGTGCATAGCAGGCACTTTATAATCATTTACTTCAATAAAAACATAGGTCCTGGAGCCAAAGGCTTGACCTTAATTGATATGTGAACCAGGTAAAAGTCACTTAGCCATTCTGAGTTTCAGTTTTCTTATTTGTAAAATGAAAATAAAATAGTACCTATCTTGAAGGGTTTTCATGAAGATTAAATAAGCTAATAGGAAGAAATCACCATAACAGCCTGGCACCACAAATGTTAGTTAATAAAGCTTGGCAAGCCGGGCACGGTGGCTCACACCTGTAATCCCAGCACTTTGGGAGGCCGAGGCGGATGGATCACCTGAGGTCGGTGGATCACCTGAGGTCAGGATTTCGAGACCAAAATGGCCAACATGGTGAAACCCCATCTCTACCAAAATACAAAAAATTAGCCGGTCATGGTGGCAGGCGCCTGTAAACCCAGCTACTCGGGAGGCTGAAGCAGAAGAATTGCTTGAACCTGGGAGACGGAGGTTGCAATGAGCTGAGATTGCGCCATTGCACTCCAGCCTGGGCAACAAGGACAAACCTCTGTCTCAAAATCAATCAATCTTGGCAATGAACACGGGTTCCTCCTGGCAAAGGTTTTGGCTCTGTGGGGTAATGCTGCCCTCTGCCGGACAATTTGGTTTCTTGCTTTGTTTGTTTTAATAAACTGTTGGGTTTTTTCCCAAAGTCCCACCCCACCTAGCAAAAAGGTTAACATTCTTCATAAAGATTATTTTCTCAGAATACGTTTCTGAGAAAATGAGTACAAACATGATTTGTTGATTCGCTATCCGCAAATGGCTTTCCTCATTTGAGGAACAAATGAGCCACTTGGAAGCTTACTTGGGCTGCAATTTTATTTCCAATTTTATCTTTATGAAGAAATCCAGGCCGAGCGCAGCGGCTCACACCTGTAATCCCAACACTTTGGGAGGCCGAGGAGGGCCGATCGCTTGAGCCCAGGAGTTCGAGACCAGCCTGGGAAATATGGAGAAACCTCGCCTCTACAAAAACTACAAAAAATTAGCCGAGCCTGGTGGCACACATCTGTAGTCCCAGCTACTCGGTAGGCTGAAGTGGGAGATCACGGGAGCCCGAGAGGTCAAGACTGCAGTGAGCCGTGATAGTGCCACTGCTCTCCAGCCTGGGCGACAGAAGATAAGAAAAGAAGAGAAGGGAAGAGAAAAAAAGGAGAGGGGAGAGGAGGGGAGGGGAGGGGAGGGGAGGGAAGGGGAGGGGAGGGGAGGGGAGAAGAAAAAGAAATCCAGCTATGTTGGCCGGGCGTGGCGGCTCGCGCCTGTAATCCCAGCACTTTGAGAGGCCAAGGCGGGTGGATCACTTGAGGTCAGGAGTTCGGGACCAGCCTGGCCAACATGGTGAAGCCCCGTCTCTACTAAAAATACAAAAATTAGCCAGGTATGGTGTCGCGCGCGCGTAATCCCAGCTACGTGGGAGGCTGAGGCAGGAGAATCGCTTGATCTCGGGAGGCGGAGGTTGCAGTGAGTTGAGATCATGCCACTGCACCCCAGCCTGGGGGACAGAGTGAAATTCCGTCTCAAAAAAAAAAAAAAAAAAAAAAAAGAAAAGAAAAGAAAAGAAAAGAAAAGAAAAACAGAAAAGAAAAATAAAAATAAAGAAAAATAATGTCAGCTATGTGTTGAGATATTGCTGCTTAATTTTTTTTAACTTTTCTTTTTTCTTCTTAAACTCAATAGTAAGAATATGCTTAACTTTTCCGATTTTCCTTATTATTGCTTTCCTATGAGTTGAGAATATTGTGATAAGTGCCTAGTCTGGTAATTTGCACACACATTGTATTCTCTTGTTACAGTTACAGTGTGATAAAATAAATAAATGAAAAGTCATAGCATGGCAAAAAGTACAGCACTTGAAACACTGTAGTGTGCTAGTTGCCTCACTGTGGTTTGTGATGTGTCCAAAGCAAGGGGAAATAATGAGAACACCACACAAGGTCTCTGTCCAGACTATTCAACTCTGATCTTTGAATCACAAAAGCAGCCGTAAGATACATAAATGAATGAGTGCAACTGCGCTGTCATAAAACTTTATTCATAACTGTTGAAATTTGAATTTCACATAATTTTCAAATACTACAAAATATCATTCTTTTTATTTTTCTCAATTGTTTACAAAAGTTAAAACCATATACAAAAACAGGCAGCTGACAATTTGGGCACAGAATCTGTAGTTGTGGACCTCTGGTCTAGAGTCATCCACCAAGAGCAGCCAGATCCCGAGGGGACAGAATGGTGATTTAAACAGAAATATCATGGGGACACTATTGCTGCATTCTTTAGACCCTTGAGGGTGTCACTTATCTCTGCCATTCCCCTTGATGCAGCATTTTGTCTTGTTCTCTCTTGACTAGGGATATAGTTTTTTTAATGTGCAGAACATGCAGATTGGTTATATAGGTATACATGTGCCATGTTGGTTTGCTGCATCCATTAGCTCGTCATTTACATTAGGTATTTCTCCTAATGCTATCCCTCCCCCAGCCCCCCACCCTACAACAGGACCCAGTGTGTGATGTTCCCTGCCCTGTGTCCAACTGTTCTCATTGTTCAGTTCCCACCTATGAGTGAGAACATGCAGTGTTTGGTTTTCTGTCCTCGTGATAGTTTGCTCAGAATGATGGTTTACAGCTTCATCCATGTCCCTGCAAAAGACATGAACTCATCCTTTTTTGTGGCAGCATAGTATTCCATGGTGTATATGTGCCACATTTTCTTAACCCAGTCTATCATTGATGGACATTTGGGTTGGTTCCAAGTCTTTGCTATTGTGAATAGTGCTGCAAATAAACACTCGCGTGCATTTGTCTTAATAGTAGCATGATTTATAATCCTTTGGGTATATACCCAGTAATGGGATCGCTGGGTCAAATGGTATTTCTAGTTCTAGATCCTTGAGGAATCGCCACACTGTCTTCCACAATGGTTGAGCTAGTTTACACTCCCACCAACAGTGTAAAAGTGTTCCTATTTCTCCACATCCTCTCCAGCACCTGTTGTTTCATGACTTTTTAATGATCACCATTCTAACTGGTGTGAGATGATATCTCATTGTGGTTTTGATTTGCATTTCTCTGATGACCAGTGATGATGAGCATTTTTTCATGTGTCTTTTGGCTGCATAAATGTCTTCTTTTGAGAAGTGTCTGTTCATATACTTTGTCCACTTTTTGATGGGGTTGTTTGTTTTTTTCTTGTAAATTTGTTTAAGTTCTCTGTAGATTCTGGATATTAGTCCTTTGTCAGATGGGTAGATTGCAAAAATTTTCTCCCATTCTGTAGATTACCTGTTCACTCTGATGGTAGTTTCTTTGGCTGTGCAGAAGCTCTTTAATTTATTTAGACCCCATTTGTCAATTTTGGCTTTTGTTGCCATTGCTTTTGGTGTTTCAGTCATGACGTCCTTGCCCATGCCTATGTCCTGAATGGTATTGCCTAGGTTTTCTTCTAGGGTTTTTATGGTTTTAGGCCTAATGTTTAAGTCTTGAATCCATCTTGAATTAATTTTTGTATAAGGTGTAAGGAAGTGATCCAGTTTCAGCTTTCTACATATGGCTAGCCAGTTTTCCCAGCACCATTTATTAAATAGGGAATCCTTTTCCCAGTTATTGTTTTTGCCAGGTTTGTCAAAGATCAGATGGTTGTAGGTGTGTGGTGTTATTTCTGAGGGCTCTGTTCTGTTCCATTGGTCTATATCTCTGTTTTGGGACCAGTACCATGCTGTTTGGTTACTGTAGCCTTGTAGTATAGTTTGAAGTCAGGTAGCGTGATGCCTCCAGCTTTGTTCTTTTTGCTTAAGATTGTCTTGGCAATGAGGGCTCTTTTTTGGTTCCATGAACTTTAAAGTAGTTTTTTCCAATTCTGTTAAATCATTGGTAGCTTGATGGGGATGGCATTGAATCTATAAATTACCTTGGGCAGTACGGCCATTTTCATGATATTGATGCTTCCTATCCATGAGCATGGAATGTTCTTCCATTTGTTTGTCTCCTCCTTTATTTTGTTGAGCAGTAGTTTGTAGTTCTCCTTGAAGAGGTCCTTCACATCCCTTGTAAGTTGGATTCCTAGGTATTTTATTCTCTTTGTAGCAACTGTGAATGGGAGTTCACTCATGATTTGGCTCTCTGTTTGTCTGTTATTGGTGTATAGGAATGCTTGTGATTTTTTGCACATTGATTTTGTATCCTGAAACTTTGCTGAAGTTGCTTATCAGCTTAAGGAGATTTTTTTTTTTTTTTTTTTGAGACAGAGTTTCGCTCTTGTTGCCCAGGCTGGAGTACAATGGTGCAATATCAGCTCACCGCAACCTCTGCCTCCTGGGTTCAAGCAATTCTCCTGCCTCAGCCTCCTGACTAGCTGGGATTACAGGCATGCACCACCACACCTGGCTAATTTTGTATTTTTAGTAGAGATGGGGTTTCTCCATGTTGGTTAGGTTGGTCTCGAACTCCCAACCTCAGGTAATCCACCCACCTCGGCCTCCTAAAATGCTAGGATTACAGGTGTGAGCCACCGCACCCAGGCAGACTAGGGGTATAGTTTTAGGCTTCTGCTTGGCTTTCCTTTTCTATGATGAATTTCACCTCACAGTCCTAGGGTATGGTGAGGATTTTTATACATCAATCTTCATATGGGATATTATTCTACAGTTTTTTCTTGTAAAATCTTTGTCTTGCTTTGGTATCAGGGCAATTGTAGCCTCATAGAATGAGTTAGGGAGTACTCCCTCCTCTTCAGGTTTTTGGAAGGGATTAAGAAGGATTAATATTAGCTATCTAAATATTTGATAGAAAAGTCAAGTCCAAGGCTTTTTTTTTTTTTATTTTTTTCGGTCAGGAGATTTTTGGTTACTGATTCAGTCTCCTTACTAGTTACTAGTCTATTCAGATTTTCAATTTCTTCATGATTCAGTCTTGGTAGGGTTCATATTCCTAGGAATTTGTCCATTTCATCCAGGTTATCCAATATGTTGGTGTACAATTGTTCTTAGCACTCTCTTACAATCCTATTCATTTATTTATTTGAGACAGGGTCTCATCTGTCACCCAGGCTGGAGCACAGTGGTGTGATCTAGGCTCACTACAACCTCCACCTCCCAGGTTCAAGTGATCCTCCTACCTCAGCCTCCTGAGTAGCTGGGACAACAGGCTTTTGCCACCAAGATGGGCTGATTTTTCTTTTTCTTTCTTTCTTGTTTTTTTTTTTTTTTTTTTTTTTGTAGAGACCAGGTTTTACCATGTTTCCCAGGCTAGTCTTGAACTCCTGAGCTCAAGTGATCCACCTGCCTGAGCCTCCCGAGTAGCTGGGATTACAGGCGCCTGCCACCACACCCGGCTACGTTTTTTGTATTTTTAGTAGAGATGGTTTCACCATGTTGGCCAGGCTAGTCTCGAACTCCTGACCTCAAGTGATCCGCCTGCCTTGGCCTCCCAAAGTGCTGGGATTACAGGTGTGAGCCACTTCACCCTGCCAATCCTTTTCATTTTGACTGGATCAGATAGTAATGTCCCCAATTCCATTTCTGATTTTAGTAATTTGAGTCTTCTCTCTTTTTTTCTTAGTCAGTCTATAAAGTTTGTCAATTTTATCTTTAAAAAAAAACCAGCTTTTGGTTTTGTTGATTTTCTCCTTTTTTTTTAATGCTCTGTTTTATTTATTTCTGAAATAATCTTTATTTCCTTCCTTCTGCTAGTGTTGGGTTTAATTTTTTTCTTTTCTAGTTGCCTAAATTGTAAATTTAGGTTGCTAATTTGAGATCTTTTTGGTGTTTTTTGTTTTGTTTTGTTTTGTTTTTGAGATGGAGTTTCACTCTTGTTGCCCAGGCTGGAGTGCAATGGTGTGATCTCGGCTCACTGCAACCTCTGCCTCCCGGGTTTAAGTGATTCTTCTGCCTCAGCCTCCCAAGTAGCTGGGATTACAGGCACCTGCCACCATGCCCAGCTGATTTTGTATTTTTAGTAGAGACAGGGTTTCTCCATGTTGGTCAGGCTAGTCTGGAACTCCTGACCTCAGGTGATCCGCCCACCTCAGCCTCCCAAAGTGCTGGGATTACAGGCGTGAGCCATGACGCTCGGCTTTTTGTTTTTTGTTTTTTTTAAAACGTAAGCATTTCACACTATAAATTTCCCTGTTAGCACTGCTTTTACTGTATCCCAAAGTTTTGCTGTACTGTGTTTTCATTTTCATTCATTTCTGAGTACAGCTGAGCCTTGAACAACATGGATCTGAACTGCAAGGGTGCATTTATACAGTAATTGTTTTCAATAAATACAGTTGGTCCTCTGATTTCATGAATTCTGCATCTGTAACCAAAGGCAGATTGAAAATACAGTATTCACAGAGTGCAAAACCTGAGGATACAGAGGCCTTACTTTTTTAATACCCAGGTTTTACAGGGCCAACTGCAGGACTTGACTCTGTGTGGATTTTGGCCTACTTATGGGGTCCTGGAACCAATCCCCTGTGGATGCTGACAGCCAACTGTATTTTCTGATTTCTCTTGTGGTTTCATCTTTAACCCATTGGTTGTTTAAGAATATATCTTAATTTGTTCATGTTGCTGTAACAAAATACCTGAGATTGGATAATTTATTAAAAAACAGACATTTATTTCTCTCAGTTCTAAAGGCTGGGGTGTCCAAGATCAAGGCATCAGCCCATTCAGTGTCTAGCGAAGGCCCCGTCTCTGCTTCCAAGATGTCACAACGTTGCTGCATCTTTCAGAGCGGAGGAACATTGTGTCCCCACGTGGAGGAGACAGGAGTGAATGAATCCACTCCTTCAAGTCCTTTTATAAGGGCTCTAATTTCGTCCATAAGGACTTCTATCCTCATGAGATAATCACCTAAAGAATCCACCTTTTTACCCTTTTTTTTTTTTTTTTTTTTTGAGACAGGGTCTCATTCTATTGCCCCCATTGGAGTGCAGTAGCCTGTAGCCTGATCATGGCTTACTGCAGCCTTGACCTCCCAGGCTCAACCAGTCCTCCTGTTTCAGCCTCCTGAGTAGCTTGGACTACAGGCCTGCACCACCATGCCCACCTAATTTTTGTATTTTTTGTAGAGACAAGGTTTTCCCATGTTGCCCTGGCTGGTCTTAAACTCCTGGGCTCAAACAATCTGCCAGTCTCCTCCTCCCAAAGTGCTGGGATTACAGCATGAGCCACCACCCCAGGCCACTGTCCACCTCTTAACACTATCATATTGGCAGTTAAATTTCAACGTATAAATTTTGGGGGACATTCAGACCATAGCAGTGTGTTGTTTAATTTCCAAAAAGAAAAAAGGTCAGTTTATCAGTTTTACTTCTATTATTGATTTTTAACTCTATTCTGTTGTGGTCAGAGAAGATATTTGATATGCTATCTATCTTTTAAAATTTACTGAGACTAAAATTGTGGCCTGACATATGGTCTATACTGGAGAATGTCCTGTGTGCACTTGAGAAAAAAGTGTATATTGCAGCTGCTGGATATAGAGTCCTATACATGTCTGCCAGATTTAGCTGATTTATTGTGTTGTTCAAGTCCTTGTTTTCTTATCCTCTATCTGATCATTCTATCCATTATTACCAGTAGGGTATTGAACTCTCCATTTGTCTTTTGTAGAACTGTCTGTTTCTCCCTTCAGTCTATCAGGTTTTGCGTCATATATTTTAATGGTCTGTTACTAGGTGCATAAATGTTTACAATTGTTACATTATCTTGTTATTTTAAACCTTTTATTAATATATATGCCCTTCTTTGTCTTATGTAAACCTATTTGATTTTGAAGTCTGTTTTGTCTGATATTAGTACAGCCACTACTGTTCTCTTTTGGTCACTATTTGCATGGAATATCTTTTTTCTTTTTTTTTTATTCTTTTTCTTTTTCCTTTTTTTTTTTTTTTTTTTTTTTTTGAGATGGAGTTTTTTGCTCTCGTTGCCCAGGCTGGAGTGCAATGGTGTGATCTCGGCTCTCTGCAACCTCCACCTCCTGGGTTGAAGCGATTCTCCTGCCTCAGCCTCCCCAGGAGCTGGGATTACAGGCACCTACCACCACGCCCAGCTAATTTTTTGTATTTTTAGTAGAGACAGGGTTTCATCATGTTGGCCAGGCTGGTCTTGAACTCCTGACCTCAGGTGATCCACCTGCCTCGGCTTCCCAAAGTGCTGGGATTACAGGCGTGAGCCACCACTCCCAGCCTCTTTTTTCTATTTCTTCACTTTCATCCTATTCGTGGTTTTTAATCTAAAATTTCTCTCTTGTAGACAGCATAGAATCGGGTTTCATGTTTTTGTCTATTCTGCCAATCTCCATCTTTTGACTGAAGAGCTTAATCTAATTATATTTGAAATAATTACTGATAAGGAAGAACTTACTTCTGTCATTTTGCTACCTTTTTTTATATGCATTATAGTTTTTCCCCTCATTTTCTGCATTACCATCTTCTGTTGTATTTGATTATTTTTGTAGTGAATAATTTTAATTCCTTTCTCATTTCCTTTTGTATATATTCTATAGCTACTTTTTGTGGTTCCCATAGGAATTGCATTTAGGATCTTAAAGTTTTAACACTCAAATTTGAATTTATACCAATTTAACTTCAGTAACATGTAAAAACTCTTTTTTTTTAAAGCTCCATCCCCCCTTTCAGTTACTGATGTCAAACAATTACATGTTTATGTATTATGGGTCCAAAAACATAGACTAAATTGTTTCTTATGCACTAGTCTCTTAAAACATGTAGAAAACAAAAAGTGAATGGTATTTTTGGGAAAAGCGTAATTTTTAAAAAGAAAGAAAACAAAAAGTGGAGTTACAAACCGAAGTGTAAAGCTAAATAACAGATAGAGAAGTAATCTAAAAGAAAATGAAATTAGCCAGGTGTGGTGGCACATGCCTGTAGTCCCGGCTACTCAGGAGGCTGTGGGGAAAGGACTGCTTGAGGCCAGGAGGTCAAGGCTGCAATGAGCCATGATTGTGCCACTGCACTTCAGCCTAGGCAACAGAGCCAAACAAAACAACAAAAAAAAAGATATTTATTTGAGACTAAGCATTGCAAAGTGAATATGGAAGGCATATTCAGGGAGGTAAAAGAAGACAGGAGTTTTTTAAGGAAAAATGAGGAGAATTACATAATTGTTTTGAAATCATTATCATTGGCTACAAAGATCAATAGCACAGGTGGCCCCAGTCCAAGATTGTCAGGCAGTTGCTGGACAGATGTCTTCACAGTATTTTTTTATGTAAGGCTGTGGTCTTTGTGCAAGTTTGTAGTTTTTGCAGAGTCTTTCGTGTGATAGTTTTTATCATTAGGCATACTTGTATGAGAACCCTCTCTTTGTGGCCTTCCCCAGCTCCATTTGTCAAGGTTTTAACACAGTGACTTCATTTTGTTTCTGACAACTTTTACATTTCCCCTTTTTGATCAAGATTGTTCTTTGAAAGCATCACTAACCAATCGTACTGTAGTTAGATTCTGATTGTCCCTCAGTGCTGAGATGTACCTGTCCTGAGCTGTTAGTCTGGTCTAGCCCTGTGTTCAAGGGAAATGAATCGCGACTAGCAAAACCCTTTTTTGCCACATTTGAGCAACAAGAGAGGTTTAGAGGGAGTGGCTCTCAGGCTAAGTCTACCTGGAGTCCATTGTTAAGCCCAATTTTGTCTGTTCCATAGGCCTTTGCTATCATCCAAAGTTCTGGGCCAGAATTATTTTCTTAGGAGTTGCACTTTTGCATAAATTTGTTAAGCCATGGGCACAAAGTTTTTTAAAAATAAAATACAAAGCAAGGTTAGGCCAGGTGCAGTGGCTTATGCCTGTAATCCCAGCACTTTGGGAGGCCTAGGTGGGTGGATCTTGAGGTCAGGAGTTCAAGACCAGCCTGGCCAAGATGGTGAAACCCCGTCTCTACTAAAAATACAAAAATTAGCTGGGTATGGTGGTGGGTACCTGTAATCCCAGCTACTCGGGAGGCTGAGGCAGAGAATTGCTTGAACTCATGAGGCGGAGGTTGCAGTGAGCCAAGATCGCGCCACTGCACTCCAGCCTGGGTGACAGAGCAAGACTTCATCTCCAAAAAAAAAAAAAAAGCAAGGTTAATAGTAATATGATAACCCCAGTTTACATAATGATTTTGAGCCATGAACCTAGGATTAAATGCAATCAACTGAATAAATCAAATCATTATAGGGAACTAGGTGAGGTCTGTTATAACCATGTGGACTGTTTTTTTATTTTGTGTATTTGGGTCTCAACTTCTCCAGAAAAATTGTTCAGGTACAGCACATAGAATTAGCAATAACACAGGCATTTTCTTATTTAACCAAAAACTAATATGGAGCAATTTTATCATCTGGTATCCCATGACTGGGTTGAATTAAAGCCAAGAATGCTATCTAAAAAAAGAAAAAAGACCAATAGTACAATATGAACAAAAACCTGTGTTGGGGATGTTGCCAAAGTTACCCACTAGGTGCACTAAAGGATTTCTTAGATCAGGTTCTGTCGAGTTACCCACAGTAGCTACAATCGTGAAATTTCAATTATGTCATTATCATGCCAAGTAAAAGAGGTAGGCATAAACAAGGAAAAATTAAAAGAAGCAAGATTCTCACGGTGATGGGGAGTCTTGTTCTATTATCTTGGGAAAAGCTGCCCACATCATGAAGCCAATCAACTTCTTGTTCTGGTTTGCAGTTTTAATGTCTCTGATTATGGCATCAGGTGGTCAGTGAACTTTCTGTATGGCCCATACATCAACTATGAGACTTGTCTTATAAAATCCATTTATGCTGGATATTGTGGTTCACAGCTGTAATCCCAACACTTTGGGAGGCTGAGGTTGGAGTATGGCTTGAAGTCAGAAGTTTGAGACCAGCCTGGGCAACAAAGAGACACATCATCTATAAAAAAATTAAAAATTACCTGGTCATGGTGATGTGTGCCTGTAGTTTCCAGGTACTTAGGAAGTGGAGGCAAGAGAATCACTTGAACCCAGGAGTTCAAGGCTTCAGTAAGCTGATTGGGCCACTGTACTCCAGCCTGAGTGACAGAGCAAGACTCTGACTCAAAAAAAAAAAAATCAGCTAGTTTCAACTTACAGGGCTTCAGGAACACAGCAATTCTTGGTACTTACATGGAAGAAAGCTGGATTGGGGGAACCTAGAAAAATTTAGGATGCAGTTCATTCTACAGGCAAATAATAAAAACTCAAAAACAATGCACAGGGCTATATTCTAGCAACAGGTGTATTACAGCTGTTCTTTGGAAACATAACTTTTCTCTTCACAGTCTTCCCAATTTCTACCAAAGATCATCAGAGAAAGACAAAATGTTTTGCAGAATTAGTTCAATTTTATCAAATTTCGCCTAATCATTTGCATAAGCATATCAAGAATAACAACTGGCTACATTGTAATTTCAGATTTAAAAACCTCTTGAGGCTGGTCACAGTGGCTCACACCTGTAATTCCAGCACTTTGGGAGACCAAGGTGGGAGGATTGCTTGAGGCCAGGAGTTCGAGACCAGCCTGGCTAAAATGGTGAAACCCCATCTCTACTAAAAATACAAAAATTAAGGCTGGGCACAGTGGCTCATGCCTGTAATCTCAGCACTTTGGGAGGCCGAAGTGGGTGGATCACCTGAGGTTGGGAGTTCGAGACCAGCCAGACCAACATGGAGAAACCCCATCTCTACTAAAAATACAAAATTAGCTGGGCATGGTGGAGCATGCCTGTAATCCCAGCCACTTGGAAGGCTGAGGCAGGAGAATCACTTGAACATGGGAGGCGGAGGTTGCAGTGAGCCGAGATGGCACCACTGCACTCCAGCCTGGACAACAAGAGCAAAACTCCGTCAAAAAAAAATACAAAAATTAGTCCGACATGATGGCACCAGCCTGACTCCCAGCTATTCATAAGGCTGAGGCATGAGAATCACTGGATTCCCCCTCCCAGGGGGCAGAGGTTACAGTGAGCCACGATCGTGCCACGCACTCCAGCCTGGGTGACAGAGGGAGACCTTGTCTCAAAAATAACAACAACAAACCCTTGAGGCTAGGTAGCCAAATCAAGACAGACTTTAGACTTTGTTTACAGTATCTATAAACCCCTTAAATATGACATTCCAAAGTCATGGCAATGTAACCAATATTTCCAATTGTATCTTGCTATAGAGGTGATTCTTATTGAACTTATGGAAATAATTACATTTCCATTAAAAATAAGTATACTCATGAAGTCATTTCCAAATTTTGGAGGTACTTAGTAGGAAGAAAAAAATAAATGCTTTCACTTTTGTTCATAAATGTATGCTTTATCAAATTGCTGAAAACTTTAGATAGCATAAGCGAAAATATTTTCTTAAATTTGGGAAACAAAACATATAAGTAAAGAGCCATCAGTATTTTAAATAAAAGTCATGAAAACATTATTAGTTATTCAATCTCATGTAATTAATTTTTTGTTTTGCTAAATCTTATTAGCAATTTCATGAATTCATCAGTTTCTTCATTAGAAGTTATGGACATCTTTTTTCCCAAGCACTTGGTAGTTGATAAAAGAGAAATATAAAATTTTTTTTAAAAAAGAAAGTTCTGGAAATGTTTATGTGGTCTGCTGATTTTATTTTCTTTTTCCATGTTGCCCCATTCATAATACAGACCAGGCTTGGACTGAGGTGTATATAGGATAGGTTTACTCTGCCTCCTCTCTCTATTCAGTCAGTGAAAGAGCACAGTCTGTGGTAAGCACCAAAAGGCCTCCATTGATCTTTTTTCCTTTTTGCTATTTTTACTTTGCACTATAAACAACAACAACAATGGTCAGTAACATAGAGCTTTTCTTCACATTTGCATGGATTGCAAAATCTGCAAATTCCAGAAGTCAGTGGCTTGAAGACAAAACAACTGTCACAAGAGACACAACACATAGAAGGACAGGAAGCTGAAGAAGACAGTTTTCAATATTACTGACCCAGGATACACAGCAAGTACCCTTTTCCTCCTGGCACCTGGTGCCGCCACCTTGATGGTATGATTTTTTAGTCTATGATCTGAAAAAATATTTTCTCAAATGAAGAGCTGCTGAGAAGAGGTGCAATGAGATAAGTTCAAGTATGAGTAACAGTCATACTTATTCAAGTGTAGATTTGTATCATACTTATAAAAGTCCAAGGTCAGTGAGGAAGCCACAGCAAAAGAGAAAACCAGAAAGGCCAACATCTTGCTACTTCAACCAACTGCCTCCATTGGACCCAAGAGGGTATGTAAAAAACATTTCAGGGTTCAAATTGGCATATATATCATGTCTCCACAAACCCTGTAGGGTTACTTTCCTGACTAGATGGTGATCAGCTTATTTCCTGAAGCAACGGAGACAGACATTGAGACTGCCAAAGTTTGAAAAATAAGGTGGAAATTGTGCTTCCTTCAAAATGAATTGGCTTCATAAGTGCCATTTCTGTTGGTCCAGCAACTTCTTTCTCCCATGTTGCTGCAGGTATTTATTGCCTTATGCTTGAAATGAAAAGGCGAACTTTGAGGTGCAAGGACTGGGCAGTCCCTTGAGGGCAGGGGGTCTGGAAGTACAGTAGTCAGCACGTGCTGTGCTCCTGTAATTGCTTGGCCTTCCTTCAATCCTGAGAACCTACCCTGAGGTCTGTGTGAAGTTCATTTGCAAGCCTGGTGACCTCTCACTATGTCACTGGGGCAACATGACAAAGTGAGGTCTTCAGTATTGCACAGATGTGAAATGTCCATTCTTAAAAACAAAAGTCATAGCTGCTCTTGGGGCTGGGCTTGTTCCTCTATCCCAGTTTTAGCAGAATGTGGCTGTGGCCACAGGGCTCCTGCTGAGCTCTGAGACTGTCCAGTGGGTGGGCACTGGAGCCAGCACTGAGGCAGGGAATGTGCAGTAGACACCCTTCAAGTCAGGGCTAAATGTCTGCAAATGGCTTATCAATGAAGAGCCTGCTGCCTCCCCCTGGTAGGAGGGAAGCTAGGGATTGGGTGTGGAAGGGAGGATTTCAAATTCCTACCGCAGGAGCTGGCCCATGAAGCCAAAGCTGGGTGAGATCATGCTCCTCTTCCACTTGACATAATTGAAGGCCTCCTTCAGGCAGAAGTGCTTGGTCTTTATGAGGGAAGCCATGCAGATGGTGGGTGAACAGGAGAACCCAGCTTCACAGTGGACCAGGACCTTGCCTTTCTTTTCTCTGACACAGTCAATGAAGTCTATTGCTTCTTGAAAGTGAGAGCTAATGTCAGCCATGTGGCCTTCTTCCACAAGGATCCATTCGTATGTAGGTGGGTCTTGCAGGCCTCACAGCCAGGTCCACAAGGGGACATTCAGCTGGGCTGTGATGTATAGCTTGATGAGGAACTTGCACTTGGATGCATGGTAGGCACCTCCAAGGTAGAGGGAGGAAAGGATTTCAACTGGACCACCCTGATCATAAGCTGGCCTGTAGTTGATGTTTAGCACTACTAGCTTTCCACACTGGCTGATGAGAGCTCTCTCACTTTGAAACGAGTGAAACGAGTTTTACATCCATGCAACCCTGGAAGAAGGTCTCATATCCCCCTTTGAGGAAGTAGACCCGCCAGCAGGAGGGCAGGCAGGCGAGCAGTGAGGTGAGGACAACCCGCCGGGCACTCTCCTCGCACAGCTTCTGCCCGTGGCAGCTCCCCTAGTTCAGCACCATCACGGCCACCAGGATGCTGCCCTCCTGCAGCAGCAGCGTGCTCCGAGGCATCTGGCAGCAAGTAGCACGCTGACCCCACAGCCGCCCCGGGCTGGCGCACACCAGTGAATAGAGGTTGATGTTGAGTGAGCCAGGCACGCTCAAGGCGGTAAAGGCCAGGTAGGGCCGGCAGCCAAGCACCATCCAGCCCGCCGCTGCCTCCTTGCGGAGCATCTTGCACACTGGCGCCAGCGACCCAGCGACCCAGCGCCACGTACTCCACAGGTGCCCAAGGCCAGGGTCCCCATGGGCGACCCATGGGGCTGCAGCCGCTGATGGAACTAGGCCCTAACCGCAGTGCAGCTCTGCTTTCCATTGATCTTAAAGTTATTAGAAATCTGTATTCAAGAGTACCTGTTAGAGTTCTTTCTATGAATCTGATTGCAGATGCCTTTAAAGAAAAGTCAAAACAATAACTGTGGATAACAAAAACTTAGAATAGAATAATTATGGTTAAAAATCTGATGAAAGTTTATTATAACCAGAAATTGACAAGAAACTGGTTATTTTGTGTCAAACAACATAAGCAGAATTACAACTGATGACGTCTTAGATTTCTAGGAGTTTTACACAATTTTGGAACATTCATATCAATAACACACCCATAAAATATAACTGAAAGAAGATCTAGTGTAACTTATTTGACAATGTTTTTCATACAGTTTATCATCTTCAAATGAGCCTGATTTAGTTTAATATGTCTCTTTTATAAACATTTGAAAAGTTTCAGGGCCCTCTGGAACATCAAGTTAATTCAAGATAAAAAAAGAAAAGACAATTTAGGATGTGATCCCGGGAAAGCTTGCCAAAATATCAAAAGGTTAAAAACACTTTATCAAAACAGCATCAAATGTCACTGTGAATTAATAGTCATTTATTTAACCAGGATGATAATCAAAATACTTCAAAATGAAATACAGACAGTTACATGAATTTTTTTAAAAACCCTTAACCCTTTTAAGCGCTGTTTTGTCAAGTAATCAAAAACCTAATAAAAACAAGCAACAGGAACCACAGATAATTATCCTGATAAAATGTAAAATCTTTGTTTCTTAGACCAGTTATCAAAAAGGTAAAGAAATATCTCCAGCAATATGATTGCTTCAGCCTCCAGAAAGCACATTTAGAGAACCTGGAAGTCAAACCTGACGAAAAGGTACTTGAATTCAATAAGACAAAGGAAGAGTGTGTGCCCAAAATTAGTAATGTTTGCCATATTATAGAGGAATGTAAACAGGTACTCTAGTACCTTGAACAGGGTAATACATGGCTTTTAGAAAAAGTAAAAGCTGGTAGGCACAGTGGCTCACACCTGTAAACCTAGTATTTTAAGAGGCCGAGGCAGGCAGATCACCCGAGGTCTGGAGTTTGAGACAGGACTGGCCAACGTGCAGAAACCATGTCACTGCTAAAAATACAAAAACTAGCCAGGCGAGGTTGGTGCGCGCCTTTAGTACAAGGTACTCGGGAGGCTGAGGCGAGAGAATGGCTTTAACCCAGAAGAGGAGGTTGCGGTGAGCCGAGATCGAACACTGCACTCCAGCCTGGCCAACAGAGCGAGAATCCGTCAGAAAGAAAGAAAGAAAGAAAGAAAGAGAGAGAGGAAGAGAAAGAAAGAGAGAAAAAACAAATTTCAGACTATATGAAAAGCAATAATTCATTAAATAGGAAGAAACAGATCTCTAGTAGAAGTAATAGATTATAATGTGACTCTGTCTCAAAAATAAAAATTTTAAAAAAAAGAAAAAGTAAAAGCATGTGAAATTGCCGGCTCACATGAAACAATTCAGGTATGTCAAGAAAAACCGAGTTCAGAATCAAATTATTCTGAAAGAAAATATTCAACTGTAAAGCTGCAGTTCAGAACATGGTTGAAATTTTAAAGAAACGGCTCTGGGTGGGTGAAGCAAGAGAGGGTCTTGCAAGAGGGGCAGCAAGGGATACAAAACAATCCCCCCGCCGCAAGGCAAAAGACCAGAGAAGATCCCAGGACTGTGGGCCCTGGGCGTTGACACCTCAGAGCACACCAAGTCCGGAGCGGCCCAAAGTCATGGAAGCTCTGGAGCTCCGGAGCCGGGGAAGGCCTGGAGAGTCGGCGGAATGGAGGCTGCCCGGAGATCCCAGAGCTTGGGCAGGGGAAAAGGCCTCTGGCACTCCCGCGAGGAAACAGGGTGGCGCCGCGGAGGTCCAGCGAGTGGCCTAGGCGCAAGCAATCACGGAAGGCTCTAAGAGGCCAACAGAAGGCGCAAGGCGGCGGGCAACGGTGCTTGGGCGTAGACACGGAGAGCAACCCAGCCAGACCTCCGGCGAGCGGCTCCCGGGTCCCGATAAGATCCCCATGGCACTGGATTAGAGGTGGCGCATGGAGTCGGACGGGCGTGGCTGAGCCGCGCCTTTGGGGCAGACAGGCTGCACTACCGGCGTCTAAGGCCATACCACCCCGAAGGCGTCCGGTCTCCTCTGATCTCGTGAAGATAAGCAGGGTCTGGGCCAGACCGCTACTTAGATGAAACGCCACTTGAGAAAACCAAGAGACGCAGGCTTGTTTAGACTTCAAGTTCCTCCCTCTTTACCGTTTGGTCGCCGTACTTCTCAACCGCACCGTAAATCTGCTCCCTCTTTTCACACGCCCAAGCCCACACAACAGCCCGGGACCGCTTAGTGTGGGCTAACCTGCAGCACAGCCAGGCAACAACATCACAACTATTCAGGATGGGCGGCGCAACACGATGAAACCGGATCCAGCAGAAACACCACGCCTCAGATCACTAAGGTGCAGGCCAGGATTCCCTGCCGTTCGCGGTGCCTTCCCGCTCCCGGATCCACCAGGCAATTCAATTCACTCATCCGGCGCAGTCGCAACCTTATAAACCGGGGGAAGGGGCGGGCAGGGGCAGCGGGTACCACAGACGCCAGCCAAGATCTCCGCTCCAGAACGCATGGACTGCTTTACCCGGGGGGAAGGACATTGCTTCGCCAACCACCAGGAAAACAGTCCCTGTGCACCCGGATTCCTATTGCCCCGCACTTCGTGTCAACTCCAGTACCGAGGACACGCCAGAGACCCAGGCCTCCGGACGCGCCCGGTACCACGGCTCCCGCCAAAAGGGCGGGCGCACTCTGCAAATCTCGGGGCCCACTGCACCGCACCAAGAGCACAGTGAGGTACCAAGAGCACACTGAGGTGCCAAGAAAGAATGGAGCCTACGAAACCCACCTCCAAAGCAAGCAATTCATCCAAGAAAAAACCCGTCTCAGCGCTCCGTTGGTCCTCTCGCACGGGCCGCCTGGCCGCCCTGCTCAGGCACAGCTCAAACCCCTCCACCCTATTCCGGTCTGCTCAAAAGGGGGCTGCCTACCGAAGTAGGGTGCTTCCTCTCTAAGGCTCAAACGTTCTCGCTCTCTAGCTCCCTCCTCCTCACTCTTCTGGTTTCCCCCTGGACCTCGCGTTATTTCTCTAGCCTTCCCTCTGTACCTCTGTACTTCTCCCTTTCTCTGTCCCTCTTAGCCTCTCTCTCTTTACCTCTCCACCTCTCCGGTCTCTCTCGATCGCTGTCTCTCTCCCTCCCTCGGTTTCTATCTCTCCATCCATCTTCTCCTTGCTCTCCTTCAAGCCGTGTGTGTCTGTGTTTCACCGTGTGTGTGTGTGCGTGCGTCTGCGCACCCGTGCTCGCGTGCGGGTTCCGGAACGAGAACGAACGGGTGTGTCTGTGTGTGGGGGAGTGGATTTGCTCCTGGTGGCGGTGGGGTGTGTCTGGGTTTCTCTCAGGCCCTCTCACCCGAGATCAGGCCGCCGCCTCTAGTGCCAGCCCGGGGCAAAACAGGGCCACCCCCCGACCCGCTACACCCCACGCCCTCTTGCCCCCCGGCCGGGTCTTGGTCGGGACAAGCGACCGTGGTGGGGGCGTTGTGAGAGAAAGGCCCCGCGCGGCTGGGCCGGCTGTTCGCCTTCGGCCAGCCCTGACGGCTCTGGGTGGGTGGGGCAAGAGGGGGCCTCGCAGGAGCCCCTGTGCGGCGAGGGATCCAAAACGCTGCCTCCGCGACAGGGCGGAGGACCGGAGGGCGTCCCAGGATCGTGGGCCCTGGGCCCTGACGCCTCGGAGCACTCCCTGCTCCGAGCGGGCCCGATGTGGTGGAAGCTCGGGAGCGCGGGAGCCGGGGGAAGGCCGCGGGCCAGCGGCTCGGGGGTCCCCGATCCGAGCCCCGCGGCCCCGGGCTGGCGGTGTCGGCTGCAATCCGGCGGGCACGGCCGGGCCGGGCTGGGCTCTTGGGGCAGCCAGGCGCCTCCTTCAGCGTCTACGGCCATACCACCCTGAACGCGCCCGATCTTGTCTGATCTCGGAAGCTAAGCAGGGTCGGGCCTGGTTAGTACTTGGATGGGAGACCGCCTGGGAATACCGGGTGCTGTAGGCTTTTTCTTTGGCTTTTTGCTGTTTCTTTCCTTTTCTTCCAGACGGAGTCTCGCCCTGTCGCCCAGGCTGGAGTGCAGTGGCGCCATCTCGGCTCACTACAAGCTCCGCCTCCCGGGTTCACGCCATTCCCCGGCCTCAGCCTCCCGAGTAGCTGGGCCTACAGGCGCCCGCCACCACGCCCGGCTACTTTGTTCTATTTTTCCTAGAGACGGGCTTTCACCCTGTTAGCCGGGATGGTCTGGAGCTCCTGACCTCGTGATCCACCCGCCTCGGCCTCCCAGAGTGCTGGGATTACAGGCGCGAGCCACCGCGCCCGCCCGGCCTGCTGTAGGCTTTTGTGGCTTCCCGGCTGCCTCCCTTCCCCCCACAGTCGCCATGCTTCCCAACCTCCCCTGACTCTGCTCCCCCTTTACCGCCCACCTACACCCCCGCCGCAGCCGCAGCCGGGGTCCTCCTGCTGGGGGTCCGCCCCTACTGCACGCCGGCCGGGCAGCAGCATCCCACCGCTTCCGCCTCGCCGCCGCCCCGCCAGGAGCCCGGCTCCAGCCTGGGAGGGCAGGGGGCCGGACCCCAAAGGCGCAGCCGCTGGGTTCCCTGCCGTTCGCGGTGCCTTCCCGCTCCCGGAACGCCCAGGCGATTCAATTCACCCATCGGGCGCCGTCGTCGCACCCTTCCAAACCGGGGGAAGGGGCGGGCAGGGGCAGCGGGTGCCACAGACGCCAGCCAAGACGTCGGCTCCGGAACGCATGGGCTGCTTTACCCCGGGGGAAGGACATTGCTTCGCCAGCCACCGGGAAAACAGGCCCTGTGCACCCGGGATTCCCAATGCCCCCCGCTTCGTGTCGACGACTCCAGTCCCGAGGACTCGCCAGAGACCCAGGCCTCCGGGCCCGCCCGGTGCCACGGCTCCCGCCAAACGGGCGGGCGCGCTCTGCAAATCTCGGGGCCCGCCGCAAGGCACCCAGAGCACAGGGAGGTGCCAAGAAAGGCAGGAGCCTACGAAACCCACCTCCAAAGCAAGCAATTCATCCAAGAAAACGCCCGCCTCAGCGCTCCGTTGGTCCTCTCGCACGGACCGCCTGGCCCCCGTGTTCTGGGCGCAGCCCAAGCCCCCTCCACCCTATCCCGGCCTGCTCAAGAGGGCGCTGCCTAACGGAGCCGGGCGCTTCCTCTCTAAGGCTCTATCGCTCTCGCTCTCTAGCTCCCTCCGCCTCTCTCTTCTGGGTTTCCCCCTGGACCTCGCGCTACTTCTGTCGTTTTCCCTCTGTCTCTCTGTCTCTCTCTCTCTCTTTCTCTGTGCCTCTCTCTTTCTCAGCCTCTCTGTCTGTCTCCTTCCCTCTCGCCCTCCCCTGTCTCTCTCGATCGCTGTCTCTCTCCCTCCCTCGGTTTCTATCTCTCCATCCATCTCGTCCTTGCTCTCCTTCAAGCCGCGTGTGTGTGTGCGTGCGTGTGCGCGTGCGTGTGTGCGTGTGTGTCTGTGTGTGTGTGTGTGTGCGTGTGTGTCCGCGCGCGCGCGTGCGAGCGCGCCCGGGTGTGTCTGTGTGTGGGGGAGTGGATTTGCTCCTGGTGGCGGTGGGGTGTGTCTGGGTTTCTCTCAGGCCCTCTCACCCGAGATCAGGCCGCCGCCTCTAGTGCCAGCCCGGGGCAAAACAGGGCCACCCCCCGACCCGCTACACCCCACGCCCTCTTGCCCCCCCGGCCGGGTCTTGGTCGGGACAAGCGACCGTGGTGGGGGCGTTGTGAGAGAAAGGCCCCGCGCGGCTGGGCGGGCTGTTCGCCTTCGGCCAGCCCTGACGGCTCTGGGTGGGTGGGGCAAGAGGGGGCCTCGCAGGAGCCCCTGTGCGGCGAGGGATCCAAAACGCTGCCTCCGCGACAGGGCGGAGGACCGGAGGGCGTCCCAGGATCGTGGGCCCTGGGCCCTGACGCCTCGGAGCACTCCCTGCTCCGAGCGGGCCCGATGTGGTGGAAGCTCGGGAGCGCGGGAGCCGGGGGAAGGCCGCGGGCCAGCGGCTCGGGGGTCCCCGATCCGAGCCCCGCGGCCCCGGGCTGGCGGTGTCGGCTGCAATCCGGCGGGCACGGCCGGGCGGGGCTGGGCTCTTGGGGCAGCCAGGCGCCTCCTTCAGCGTCTACGGCCATACCACCCTGAACGCGCCCGATCTCGTCTGATCTCGGAAGCTAAGCAGGGTCGGGCCTGGTTAGTACTTGGATGGGAGACCGCCTGGGAATACCGGGTGCTGTAGGCTTTTTCTTTGGCTTTTTGCTGTTTCTTTCCTTTTCTTCCAGACGGAGTCTCGCCCTGTCGCCCAGGCTGGAGTGCAGTGGCGCCATCTCGGCTCACTGCAAGCTCCGCCTCCCGGGTTCACGCCATTCCCCGGCCTCAGCCTCCCGAGTAGCTGGGCCTACAGGCGCCCGCCACCACGCCCGGCTACTTTGTTCTATTTTTCCTAGAGACGGGCTTTCACCCTGTTAGCCGGGATGGTCTGGAGCTCCTGACCTCGTGATCCACCCGCCTCGGCCTCCCAGAGTGCTGGGATTACAGGCGCGAGCCACCGCGCCCGCCCGGCCTGCTGTAGGCTTTTGTGGCTTCCCCGCTGCCTCCCTTCCCCCACAGTCGCCATGCTTCCCAACCTCCCCTGACTCTGCTCCCCCTTTACCGCCCACCTACACCCCCGCCGCAGCCGCAGCCGGGGTCCTCCTGCTGGGGGTCCGCCCCTACTGCACGCCGGCCGGGCAGCAGCATCCCACCGCTTCCGCCTCGCCGCCGCCCCGCCAGGAGCCCGGCTCCAGCCTGGGAGGGCAGGGGGCCGGACCCCAAAGGCGCAGCCGCTGGGTTCCCTGCCGTTCGCGGTGCCTTCCCGCTCCCGGAACGCCCAGGCGATTCAATTCACCCATCGGGCGCCGTCGTCGCACCCTTCCAAACCGGGGGAAGGGGCGGGCAGGGGCAGCGGGTGCCACAGACGCCAGCCAAGACGTCGGCTCCGGAACGCATGGGCTGCTTTACCCGGGGGAAGGACATTGCTTCGCCAGCCACCGGGAAAACAGGCCCTGTGCACCCGGGATTCCCAATGCCCCCCGCTTCGTGTCGACGACTCCAGTCCCGAGGACTCGCCAGAGACCCAGGCCTCCGGGCCCGCCCGGTGCCACGGCTCCCGCCAAACGGGCGGGCGCGCTCTGCAAATCTCGGGGCCCGCCGCAAGGCACCCAGAGCACAGGGAGGTGCCAAGAAAGGCAGGAGCCTACGAAACCCACCTCCAAAGCAAGCAATTCATCCAAGAAAACGCCCGCCTCAGCGCTCCGTTGGTCCTCTCGCACGGACCGCCTGGCCCCCGTGTTCTGGGCGCAGCCCAAGCCCCCTCCACCCTATCCCGGCCTGCTCAAGAGGGCGCTGCCTAACGGAGCCGGGCGCTTCCTCTCTAAGGCTCTATCGCTCTCGCTCTCTAGCTCCCTCCGCCTCTCTCTTCTGGGTTTCCCCCTGGACCTCGCGCTACTTCTGTCGTTTTCCCTCTGTCTCTCTGTCTCTCTCTCTCTCTTTCTCTGTGCCTCTCTCTTTCTCAGCCTCTCTGTCTGTCTCCTTCCCTCTCGCCCTCCCCTGTCTCTCTCGATCGCTGTCTCTCTCCCTCCCTCGGTTTCTATCTCTCCATCCATCTCGTCCTTGCTCTCCTTCAAGCCGCGTGTGTGTGTGCGTGCGTGTGCGCGTGCGTGTGTGCGTGTGTGTCTGTGTGTGTGTGTGTGTGCGTGTGTGTCCGCGCGCGCGCGTGCGAGCGCGCCCGGGTGTGTCTGTGTGTGGGGGAGTGGATTTGCTCCTGGTGGCGGTGGGGTGTGTCTGGGTTTCTCTCAGGCCCTCTCACCCGAGATCAGGCCGCCGCCTCTAGTGCCAGCCCGGGGCAAAACAGGGCCACCCCCCGACCCGCTACACCCCACGCCCTCTTGCCCCCCCGGCCGGGTCTTGGTCGGGACAAGCGACCGTGGTGGGGGCGTTGTGAGAGAAAGGCCCCGCGCGGCTGGGCCGGCTGTTCGCCTTCGGCCAGCCCTGACGGCTCTGGGTGGGTGGGGCAAGAGGGGGCCTCGCAGGAGCCCCTGTGCGGCGAGGGATCCAAAACGCTGCCTCCGCGACAGGGCGGAGGACCGGAGGGCGTCCCAGGATCGTGGGCCCTGGGCCCTGACGCCTCGGAGCACTCCCTGCTCCGAGCGGGCCCGATGTGGTGGAAGCTCGGGAGCGCGGGAGCCGGGGGAAGGCCGCGGGCCAGCGGCTCGGGGGTCCCCGATCCGAGCCCCGCGGCCCCGGGCTGGCGGTGTCGGCTGCAATCCGGCGGGCACGGCCGGGCCGGGCTGGGCTCTTGGGGCAGCCAGGCGCCTCCTTCAGCGTCTACGGCCATACCACCCTGAACGCGCCCGATCTCGTCTGATCTCGGAAGCTAAGCAGGGTCGGGCCTGGTTAGTACTTGGATGGGAGACCGCCTGGGAATACCGGGTGCTGTAGGCTTTTTCTTTGGCTTTTTGCTGTTTCTTTCCTTTTCTTCCAGACGGAGTCTCGCCCTGTCGCCCAGGCTGGAGTGCAGTGGCGCCATCTCGGCTCACTGCAAGCTCCGCCTCCCGGGTTCACGCCATTCCCCGGCCTCAGCCTCCCGAGTAGCTGGGCCTACAGGCGCCCGCCACCACGCCCGGCTACTTTGTTCTATTTTTCCTAGAGACGGGCTTTCACCCTGTTAGCCGGGATGGTCTGGAGCTCCTGACCTCGTGATCCACCCGCCTCGGCCTCCCAGAGTGCTGGGATTACAGGCGCGAGCCACCGCGCCCGCCCGGCCTGCTGTAGGCTTTTGTGGCTTCCCCGCTGCCTCCCTTCCCCCCACAGTCGCCATGCTTCCCAACCTCCCCTGACTCTGCTCCGCCTTTACCGCCCACCTACACCCCCGCCGCAGCCGCAGCCGGGGTCCTCCTGCTGGGGGTCCGCCCCTACTGCACGCCGGCCGGGCAGCAGCATCCCACCGCTTCCGCCTCGCCGCCGCCCCGCCAGGAGCCCGGCTCCAGCCTGGGAGGGCAGGGGGCCGGACCCCAAAGGCGCAGCCGCTGGGTTCCCTGCCGTTCGCGGTGCCTTCCCGCTCCCGGAACGCCCAGGCGATTCAATTCACCCATCGGGCGCCGTCGTCGCACCCTTCCAAACCGGGGGAAGGGGCGGGCAGGGGCAGCGGGTGCCACAGACGCCAGCCAAGACGTCGGCTCCGGAACGCATGGGCTGCTTTACCCGGGGGAAGGACATTGCTTCGCCAGCCACCGGGAAAACAGGCCCTGTGCACCCGGGATTCCCAATGCCCCCCGCTTCGTGTCGACGACTCCAGTCCCGAGGACTCGCCAGAGACCCAGGCCTCCGGGCCCGTCCGGTGCCACGGCTCCCGCCAAACGGGCGGGCGCGCTCTGCAAATCTCGGGGCCCGCCGCAAGGCACCCAGAGCACAGGGAGGTGCCAAGAAAGGCAGGAGCCTACGAAACCCACCTCCAAAGCAAGCAATTCATCCAAGAAAACGCCCGCCTCAGCGCTCCGTTGGTCCTCTCGCACGGACCGCCTGGCCCCCGTGTTCTGGGCGCAGCCCAAGCCCCCTCCACCCTATCCCGGCCTGCTCAAGAGGGCGCTGCCTAACGGAGCCGGGCGCTTCCTCTCTAAGGCTCTATCGCTCTCGCTCTCTAGCTCCCTCCGCCTCTCTCTTCTGGGTTTCCCCCTGGACCTCGCGCTACTTCTGTCGTTTTCCCTCTGTCTCTCTGTCTCTCTCTCTCTCTTTCTCTGTGCCTCTCTCTTTCTCAGCCTCTCTGTCTGTCTCCTTCCCTCTCGCCCTCCCCTGTCTCTCTCGATCGCTGTCTCTCTCCCTCCCTCGGTTTCTATCTCTCCATCCATCTCGTCCTTGCTCTCCTTCAAGCCGCGTGTGTGTGTGCGTGCGTGTGCGCGTGCGTGTGTGCGTGTGTGTCTGTGTGTGTGTGTGTGTGCGTGTGTGTCCGCGCGCGCGCGTGCGAGCGCGCCCGGGTGTGTCTGTGTGTGGGGGAGTGGATTTGCTCCTGGTGGCGGTGGGGTGTGTCTGGGTTTCTCTCAGGCCCTCTCACCCGAGATCAGGCCGCCGCCTCTAGTGCCAGCCCGGGGCAAAACAGGGCCACCCCCCGACCCGCTACACCCCACGCCCTCTTGCCCCCCCGGCCGGGTCTTGGTCGGGACAAGCGACCGTGGTGGGGGCGTTGTGAGAGAAAGGCCCCGCGCGGCTGGGCCGGCTGTTCGCCTTCGGCCAGCCCTGACGGCTCTGGGTGGGTGGGGCAAGAGGGGGCCTCGCAGGAGCCCCTGTGCGGCGAGGGATCCAAAACGCTGCCTCCGCGACAGGGCGGAGGACCGGAGGGCGTCCCAGGATCGTGGGCCCTGGGCCCTGACGCCTCGGAGCACTCCCTGCTCCGAGCGGGCCCGATGTGGTGGAAGCTCGGGAGCGCGGGAGCCGGGGGAAGGCCGCGGGCCAGCGGCTCGGGGGTCCCCGATCCGAGCCCCGCGGCCCCGGGCTGGCGGTGTCGGCTGCAATCCGGCGGGCACGGCCGGGCCGGGCTGGGCTCTTGGGGCAGCCAGGCGCCTCCTTCAGCGTCTACGGCCATACCACCCTGAACGCGCCCGATCTCGTCTGATCTCGGAAGCTAAGCAGGGTCGGGCCTGGTTAGTACTTGGATGGGAGACCGCCTGGGAATACCGGGTGCTGTAGGCTTTTTCTTTGGCTTTTTGCTGTTTCTTTCCTTTTCTTCCAGACGGAGTCTCGCCCTGTCGCCCAGGCTGGAGTGCAGTGGCGCCATCTCGGCTCACTGCAAGCTCCGCCTCCCGGGTTCACGCCATTCCCCGGCCTCAGCCTCCCGAGTAGCTGGGCCTACAGGCGCCCGCCACCACGCCCGGCTACTTTGTTCTATTTTTCCTAGAGACGGGCTTTCACCCTGTTAGCCGGGATGGTCTGGAGCTCCTGACCTCGTGATCCACCCGCCTCGGCCTCCCAGAGTGCTGGGATTACAGGCGCGAGCCACCGCGCCCGCCCGGCCTGCTGTAGGCTTTTGTGGCTTCCCCGCTGCCTCCCTTCCCCCCACAGTCGCCATGCTTCCCAACCTCCCCTGACTCTGCTCCGCCTTTACCGCCCACCTACACCCCCGCCGCAGCCGCAGCCGGGGTCCTCCTGCTGGGGGTCCGCCCCTACTGCACGCCGGCCGGGCAGCAGCATCCCACCGCTTCCGCCTCGCCGCCGCCCCGCCAGGAGCCCGGCTCCAGCCTGGGAGGGCAGGGGGCCGGACCCCAAAGGCGCAGCCGCTGGGTTCCCTGCCGTTCGCGGTGCCTTCCCGCTCCCGGAACGCCCAGGCGATTCAATTCACCCATCGGGCGCCGTCGTCGCACCCTTCCAAACCGGGGGAAGGGGCGGGCAGGGGCAGCGGGTGCCACAGACGCCAGCCAAGACGTCGGCTCCGGAACGCATGGGCTGCTTTACCCGGGGGAAGGACATTGCTTCGCCAGCCACCGGGAAAACAGGCCCTGTGCACCCGGGATTCCCAATGCCCCCCGCTTCGTGTCGACGACTCCAGTCCCGAGGACTCGCCAGAGACCCAGGCCTCCGGGCCCGTCCGGTGCCACGGCTCCCGCCAAACGGGCGGGCGCGCTCTGCAAATCTCGGGGCCCGCCGCAAGGCACCCAGAGCACAGGGAGGTGCCAAGAAAGGCAGGAGCCTACGAAACCCACCTCCAAAGCAAGCAATTCATCCAAGAAAACGCCCGCCTCAGCGCTCCGTTGGTCCTCTCGCACGGACCGCCTGGCCCCCGTGTTCTGGGCGCAGCCCAAGCCCCCTCCACCCTATCCCGGCCTGCTCAAGAGGGCGCTGCCTAACGGAGCCGGGCGCTTCCTCTCTAAGGCTCTATCGCTCTCGCTCTCTAGCTCCCTCCGCCTCTCTCTTCTGGGTTTCCCCCTGGACCTCGCGCTACTTCTGTCGTTTTCCCTCTGTCTCTCTGTCTCTCTCTCTCTCTTTCTCTGTGCCTCTCTCTTTCTCAGCCTCTCTGTCTGTCTCCTTCCCTCTCGCCCTCCCCTGTCTCTCTCGATCGCTGTCTCTCTCCCTCCCTCGGTTTCTATCTCTCCATCCATCTCGTCCTTGCTCTCCTTCAAGCCGCGTGTGTGTGTGCGTGCGTGTGCGCGTGCGTGTGTGCGTGTGTGTCTGTGTGTGTGTGTGTGTGTGTGTGTCCGCGCGCGCGCGTGCGAGCGCGCCCGGGTGTGTCTGTGTGTGGGGGAGTGGATTTGCTCCTGGTGGCGGTGGGGTGTGTCTGGGTTTCTCTCAGGCCCTCTCACCCGAGATCAGGCCGCCGCCTCTAGTGCCAGCCCGGGGCAAAACAGGGCCACCCCCCGACCCGCTACACCCCACGCCCTCTTGCCCCCCCGGCCGGGTCTTGGTCGGGACAAGCGACCGTGGTGGGGGCGTTGTGAGAGAAAGGCCCCGCGCGGCTGGGCCGGCTGTTCGCCTTCGGCCAGCCCTGACGGCTCTGGGTGGGTGGGGCAAGAGGGGGCCTCGCAGGAGCCCCTGTGCGGCGAGGGATCCAAAACGCTGCCTCCGCGACAGGGCGGAGGACCGGAGGGCGTCCCAGGATCGTGGGCCCTGGGCCCTGACGCCTCGGAGCACTCCCTGCTCCGAGCGGGCCCGATGTGGTGGAAGCTCGGGAGCGCGGGAGCCGGGGGAAGGCCGCGGGCCAGCGGCTCGGGGGTCCCCGATCCGAGCCCCGCGGCCCCGGGCTGGCGGTGTCGGCTGCAATCCGGCGGGCACGGCCGGGCCGGGCTGGGCTCTTGGGGCAGCCAGGCGCCTCCTTCAGCGTCTACGGCCATACCACCCTGAACGCGCCCGATCTCGTCTGATCTCGGAAGCTAAGCAGGGTCGGGCCTGGTTAGTACTTGGATGGGAGACCGCCTGGGAATACCGGGTGCTGTAGGCTTTTTCTTTGGCTTTTTGCTGTTTCTTTCCTTTTCTTCCAGACGGAGTCTCGCCCTGTCGCCCAGGCTGGAGTGCAGTGGCGCCATCTCGGCTCACTGCAAGCTCCGCCTCCCGGGTTCACGCCATTCCCCGGCCTCAGCCTCCCGAGTAGCTGGGCCTACAGGCGCCCGCCACCACGCCCGGCTACTTTGTTCTATTTTTCCTAGAGACGGGCTTTCACCCTGTTAGCCGGGATGGTCTGGAGCTCCTGACCTCGTGATCCACCCGCCTCGGCCTCCCAGAGTGCTGGGATTACAGGCGCGAGCCACCGCGCCCGCCCGGCCTGCTGTAGGCTTTTGTGGCTTCCCCGCTGCCTCCCTTCCCCCACAGTCGCCATGCTTCCCAACCTCCCCTGACTCTGCTCCGCCTTTACCGCCCACCTACACCCCCGCCGCAGCCGCAGCCGGGGTCCTCCTGCTGGGGGTCCGCCCCTACTGCACGCCGGCCGGGCAGCAGCATCCCACCGCTTCCGCCTCGCCGCCGCCCCGCCAGGAGCCCGGCTCCAGCCTGGGAGGGCAGGGGGCCGGACCCCAAAGGCGCAGCCGCTGGGTTCCCTGCCGTTCGCGGTGCCTTCCCGCTCCCGGAACGCCCAGGCGATTCAATTCACCCATCGGGCGCCGTCGTCGCACCCTTCCAAACCGGGGGAAGGGGCGGGCAGGGGCAGCGGGTGCCACAGACGCCAGCCAAGACGTCGGCTCCGGAACGCATGGGCTGCTTTACCCGGGGGAAGGACATTGCTTCGCCAGCCACCGGGAAAACAGGCCCTGTGCACCCGGGATTCCCAATGCCCCCCGCTTCGTGTCGACGACTCCAGTCCCGAGGACTCGCCAGAGACCCAGGCCTCCGGGCCCGTCCGGTGCCACGGCTCCCGCCAAACGGGCGGGCGCGCTCTGCAAATCTCGGGGCCCGCCGCAAGGCACCCAGAGCACAGGGAGGTGCCAAGAAAGGCAGGAGCCTACGAAACCCACCTCCAAAGCAAGCAATTCATCCAAGAAAACGCCCGCCTCAGCGCTCCGTTGGTCCTCTCGCACGGACCGCCTGGCCCCCGTGTTCTGGGCGCAGCCCAAGCCCCCTCCACCCTATCCCGGCCTGCTCAAGAGGGCGCTGCCTAACGGAGCCGGGCGCTTCCTCTCTAAGGCTCTATCGCTCTCGCTCTCTAGCTCCCTCCGCCTCTCTCTTCTGGGTTTCCCCCTGGACCTCGCGCTACTTCTGTCGTTTTCCCTCTGTCTCTCTGTCTCTCTCTCTCTCTTTCTCTGTGCCTCTCTCTTTCTCAGCCTCTCTGTCTGTCTCCTTCCCTCTCGCCCTCCCCTGTCTCTCTCGATCGCTGTCTCTCTCCCTCCCTCGGTTTCTATCTCTCCATCCATCTCGTCCTTGCTCTCCTTCAAGCCGCGTGTGTGTGTGCGTGCGTGTGCGCGTGCGTGTGTGCGTGTGTGTCTGTGTGTGTGTGTGTGTGTGTGTGTGTGTCCGCGCGCGCGCGTGCGAGCGCGCCCGGGTGTGTCTGTGTGTGGGGGAGTGGATTTGCTCCTGGTGGCGGTGGGGTGTGTCTGGGTTTCTCTCAGGCCCTCTCACCCGAGATCAGGCCGCCGCCTCTAGTGCCAGCCCGGGGCAAAACAGGGCCACCCCCCGACCCGCTACACCCCACGCCCTCTTGCCCCCCCGGCCGGGTCTTGGTCGGGACAAGCGACCGTGGTGGGGGCGTTGTGAGAGAAAGGCCCCGCGCGGCTGGGCCGGCTGTTCGCCTTCGGCCAGCCCTGACGGCTCTGGGTGGGTGGGGCAAGAGGGGGCCTCGCAGGAGCCCCTGTGCGGCGAGGGATCCAAAACGCTGCCTCCGCGACAGGGCGGAGGACCGGAGGGCGTCCCAGGATCGTGGGCCCTGGGCCCTGACGCCTCGGAGCACTCCCTGCTCCGAGCGGGCCCGATGTGGTGGAAGCTCGGGAGCGCGGGAGCCGGGGGAAGGCCGCGGGCCAGCGGCTCGGGGGTCCCCGATCCGAGCCCCGCGGCCCCGGGCTGGCGGTGTCGGCTGCAATCCGGCGGGCACGGCCGGGCCGGGCTGGGCTCTTGGGGCAGCCAGGCGCCTCCTTCAGCGTCTACGGCCATACCACCCTGAACGCGCCCGATCTCGTCTGATCTCGGAAGCTAAGCAGGGTCGGGCCTGGTTAGTACTTGGATGGGAGACCGCCTGGGAATACCGGGTGCTGTAGGCTTTTTCTTTGGCTTTTTGCTGTTTCTTTCCTTTTCTTCCAGACGGAGTCTCGCCCTGTCGCCCAGGCTGGAGTGCAGTGGCGCCATCTCGGCTCACTGCAAGCTCCGCCTCCCGGGTTCACGCCATTCCCCGGCCTCAGCCTCCCGAGTAGCTGGGCCTACAGGCGCCCGCCACCACGCCCGGCTACTTTGTTCTATTTTTCCTAGAGACGGGCTTTCACCCTGTTAGCCGGGATGGTCTGGAGCTCCTGACCTCGTGATCCACCCGCCTCGGCCTCCCAGAGTGCTGGGATTACAGGCGCGAGCCACCGCGCCCGCCCGGCCTGCTGTAGGCTTTTGTGGCTTCCCGGCTGCCTCCCTTCCCCCCACAGTCGCCATGCTTCCCAACCTCCCCTGACTCTGCTCCGCCTTTACCGCCCACCTACACCCCCGCCGCAGCCGCAGCCGGGGTCCTCCTGCTGGGGGTCCGCCCCTACTGCACGCCGGCCGGGCAGCAGCATCCCACCGCTTCCGCCTCGCCGCCGCCCCGCCAGGAGCCCGGCTCCAGCCTGGGAGGGCAGGGGGCCGGACCCCAAAGGCGCAGCCGCTGGGTTCCCTGCCGTTCGCGGTGCCTTCCCGCTCCCGGAACGCCCAGGCGATTCAATTCACCCATCGGGCGCCGTCGTCGCACCCTTCCAAACCGGGGGAAGGGGCGGGCAGGGGCAGCGGGTGCCACAGACGCCAGCCAAGACGTCGGCTCCGGAACGCATGGGCTGCTTTACCCGGGGGAAGAACATTGCTTCGCCAGCCACCGGGAAAACAGGCCCTGTGCACCCGGGATTCCCAATGCCCCCCGCTTCGTGTCGACGACTCCAGTCCCGAGGACTCGCCAGAGACCCAGGCCTCCGGGCCCGCCCGGTGCCACGGCTCCCGCCAAACGGGCGGGCGCGCTCTGCAAATCTCGGGGCCCGCCGCAAGGCACCCAGAGCACAGGGAGGTGCCAAGAAAGGCAGGAGCCTACGAAACCCACCTCCAAAGCAAGCAATTCATCCAAGAAAACGCCCGCCTCAGCGCTCCGTTGGTCCTCTCGCACGGACCGCCTGGCCCCCGTGTTCTGGGCGCAGCCCAAGCCCCCTCCACCCTATCCCGGCCTGCTCAAGAGGGCGCTGCCTAACGGAGCCGGGCGCTTCCTCTCTAAGGCTCTATCGCTCTCGCTCTCTAGCTCCCTCCGCCTCTCTCTTCTGGGTTTCCCCCTGGACCTCGCGCTACTTCTGTCGTTTTCCCTCTGTCTCTCTGTCTCTCTCTCTCTCTTTCTCTGTGCCTCTCTCTTTCTCAGCCTCTCTGTCTGTCTCCTTCCCTCTCGCCCTCCCCTGTCTCTCTCGATCGCTGTCTCTCTCCCTCCCTCGGTTTCTATCTCTCCATCCATCTCGTCCTTGCTCTCCTTCAAGCCGCGTGTGTGTGTGCGTGCGTGTGCGCGTGCGTGTGTGCGTGTGTGTCTGTGTGTGTGTGTGTGTGTGCGTGTGTGTCCGCGCGCGCGCGTGCGAGCGCGCCCGGGTGTGTCTGTGTGTGGGGGAGTGGATTTGCTCCTGGTGGCGGTGGGGTGTGTCTGGGTTTCTCTCAGGCCCTCTCACCCGAGATCAGGCCGCCGCCTCTAGTGCCAGCCCGGGGCAAAACAGGGCCACCCCCCGACCCGCTACACCCCACGCCCTCTTGCCCCCCCGGCCGGGTCTTGGTCGGGACAAGCGACCGTGGTGGGGGCGTTGTGAGAGAAAGGCCCCGCGCGGCTGGGCCGGCTGTTCGCCTTCGGCCAGCCCTGACGGCTCTGGGTGGGTGGGGCAAGAGGGGGCCTCGCAGGAGCCCCTGTGCGGCGAGGGATCCAAAACGCTGCCTCCGCGACAGGGCGGAGGACCGGAGGGCGTCCCAGGATCGTGGGCCCTGGGCCCTGACGCCTCGGAGCACTCCCTGCTCCGAGCGGGCCCGATGTGGTGGAAGCTCGGGAGCGCGGGAGCCGGGGGAAGGCCGCGGGCCAGCGGCTCGGGGGTCCCCGATCCGAGCCCCGCGGCCCCGGGCTGGCGGTGTCGGCTGCAATCCGGCGGGCACGGCCGGGCCGGGCTGGGCTCTTGGGGCAGCCAGGCGCCTCCTTCAGCGTCTACGGCCATACCACCCTGAACGCGCCCGATCTCGTCTGATCTCGGAAGCTAAGCAGGGTCGGGCCTGGTTAGTACTTGGATGGGAGACCGCCTGGGAATACCGGGTGCTGTAGGCTTTTTCTTTGGCTTTTTGCTGTTTCTTTCCTTTTCTTCCAGACGGAGTCTCGCCCTGTCGCCCAGGCTGGAGTGCAGTGGCGCCATCTCGGCTCACTGCAAGCTCCGCCTCCCGGGTTCACGCCATTCCCCGGCCTCAGCCTCCCGAGTAGCTGGGCCTACAGGCGCCCGCCACCACGCCCGGCTACTTTGTTCTATTTTTCCTAGAGACGGGCTTTCACCCTGTTAGCCGGGATGGTCTGGAGCTCCTGACCTCGTGATCCACCCGCCTCGGCCTCCCAGAGTGCTGGGATTACAGGCGCGAGCCACCGCGCCCGCCCGGCCTGCTGTAGGCTTTTGTGGCTTCCCCGCTGCCTCCCTTCCCCCCACAGTCGCCATGCTTCCCAACCTCCCCTGACTCTGCTCCGCCTTTACCGCCCACCTACACCCCCGCCGCAGCCGCAGCCGGGGTCCTCCTGCTGGGGGTCCGCCCCTACTGCACGCCGGCCGGGCAGCAGCATCCCACCGCTTCCGCCTCGCCGCCGCCCCGCCAGGAGCCCGGCTCCAGCCTGGGAGGGCAGGGGGCCGGACCCCAAAGGCGCAGCCGCTGGGTTCCCTGCCGTTCGCGGTGCCTTCCCGCTCCCGGAACGCCCAGGCGATTCAATTCACCCATCGGGCGCCGTCGTCGCACCCTTCCAAACCGGGGGAAGGGGCGGGCAGGGGCAGCGGGTGCCACAGACGCCAGCCAAGACGTCGGCTCCGGAACGCATGGGCTGCTTTACCCGGGGGAAGGACATTGCTTCGCCAGCCACCGGGAAAACAGGCCCTGTGCACCCGGGATTCCCAATGCCCCCCGCTTCGTGTCGACGACTCCAGTCCCGAGGACTCGCCAGAGACCCAGGCCTCCGGGCCCGTCCGGTGCCACGGCTCCCGCCAAACGGGCGGGCGCGCTCTGCAAATCTCGGGGCCCGCCGCAAGGCACCCAGAGCACAGGGAGGTGCCAAGAAAGGCAGGAGCCTACGAAACCCACCTCCAAAGCAAGCAATTCATCCAAGAAAACGCCCGCCTCAGCGCTCCGTTGGTCCTCTCGCACGGACCGCCTGGCCCCCGTGTTCTGGGCGCAGCCCAAGCCCCCTCCACCCTATCCCGGCCTGCTCAAGAGGGCGCTGCCTAACGGAGCCGGGCGCTTCCTCTCTAAGGCTCTATCGCTCTCGCTCTCTAGCTCCCTCCGCCTCTCTCTTCTGGGTTTCCCCCTGGACCTCGCGCTACTTCTGTCGTTTTCCCTCTGTCTCTCTGTCTCTCTCTCTCTCTTTCTCTGTGCCTCTCTCTTTCTCAGCCTCTCTGTCTGTCTCCTTCCCTCTCGCCCTCCCCTGTCTCTCTCGATCGCTGTCTCTCTCCCTCCCTCGGTTTCTATCTCTCCATCCATCTCGTCCTTGCTCTCCTTCAAGCCGCGTGTGTGTGTGCGTGCGTGTGCGCGTGCGTGTGTGCGTGTGTGTCTGTGTGTGTGTGTGTGTGTGTGTGTGTGTCCGCGCGCGCGCGTGCGAGCGCGCCCGGGTGTGTCTGTGTGTGGGGGAGTGGATTTGCTCCTGGTGGCGGTGGGGTGTGTCTGGGTTTCTCTCAGGCCCTCTCACCCGAGATCAGGCCGCCGCCTCTAGTGCCAGCCCGGGGCAAAACAGGGCCACCCCCCGACCCGCTACACCCCACGCCCTCTTGCCCCCCCGGCCGGGTCTTGGTCGGGACAAGCGACCGTGGTGGGGGCGTTGTGAGAGAAAGGCCCCGCGCGGCTGGGCCGGCTGTTCGCCTTCGGCCAGCCCTGACGGCTCTGGGTGGGTGGGGCAAGAGGGGGCCTCGCAGGAGCCCCTGTGCGGCGAGGGATCCAAAACGCTGCCTCCGCGACAGGGCGGAGGACCGGAGGGCGTCCCAGGATCGTGGGCCCTGGGCCCTGACGCCTCGGAGCACTCCCTGCTCCGAGCGGGCCCGATGTGGTGGAAGCTCGGGAGCGCGGGAGCCGGGGGAAGGCCGCGGGCCAGCGGCTCGGGGGTCCCCGATCCGAGCCCCGCGGCCCCGGGCTGGCGGTGTCGGCTGCAATCCGGCGGGCACGGCCGGGCCGGGCTGGGCTCTTGGGGCAGCCAGGCGCCTCCTTCAGCGTCTACGGCCATACCACCCTGAACGCGCCCGATCTCGTCTGATCTCGGAAGCTAAGCAGGGTCGGGCCTGGTTAGTACTTGGATGGGAGACCGCCTGGGAATACCGGGTGCTGTAGGCTTTTTCTTTGGCTTTTTGCTGTTTCTTTCCTTTTCTTCCAGACGGAGTCTCGCCCTGTCGCCCAGGCTGGAGTGCAGTGGCGCCATCTCGGCTCACTGCAAGCTCCGCCTCCCGGGTTCACGCCATTCCCCGGCCTCAGCCTCCCGAGTAGCTGGGCCTACAGGCGCCCGCCACCACGCCCGGCTACTTTGTTCTATTTTTCCTAGAGACGGGCTTTCACCCTGTTAGCCGGGATGGTCTGGAGCTCCTGACCTCGTGATCCACCCGCCTCGGCCTCCCAGAGTGCTGGGATTACAGGCGCGAGCCACCGCGCCCGCCCGGCCTGCTGTAGGCTTTTGTGGCTTCCCGGCTGCCTCCCTTCCCCCCACAGTCGCCATGCTTCCCAACCTCCCCTGACTCTGCTCCGCCTTTACCGCCCACCTACACCCCCGCCGCAGCCGCAGCCGGGGTCCTCCTGCTGGGGGTCCGCCCCTACTGCACGCCGGCCGGGCAGCAGCATCCCACCGCTTCCGCCTCGCCGCCGCCCCGCCAGGAGCCCGGCTCCAGCCTGGGAGGGCAGGGGGCCGGACCCCAAAGGCGCAGCCGCTGGGTTCCCTGCCGTTCGCGGTGCCTTCCCGCTCCCGGAACGCCCAGGCGATTCAATTCACCCATCGGGCGCCGTCGTCGCACCCTTCCAAACCGGGGGAAGGGGCGGGCAGGGGCAGCGGGTGCCACAGACGCCAGCCAAGACGTCGGCTCCGGAACGCATGGGCTGCTTTACCCGGGGGAAGAACATTGCTTCGCCAGCCACCGGGAAAACAGGCCCTGTGCACCCGGGATTCCCAATGCCCCCCGCTTCGTGTCGACGACTCCAGTCCCGAGGACTCGCCAGAGACCCAGGCCTCCGGGCCCGCCCGGTGCCACGGCTCCCGCCAAACGGGCGGGCGCGCTCTGCAAATCTCGGGGCCCGCCGCAAGGCACCCAGAGCACAGGGAGGTGCCAAGAAAGGCAGGAGCCTACGAAACCCACCTCCAAAGCAAGCAATTCATCCAAGAAAACGCCCGCCTCAGCGCTCCGTTGGTCCTCTCGCACGGACCGCCTGGCCCCCGTGTTCTGGGCGCAGCCCAAGCCCCCTCCACCCTATCCCGGCCTGCTCAAGAGGGCGCTGCCTAACGGAGCCGGGCGCTTCCTCTCTAAGGCTCTATCGCTCTCGCTCTCTAGCTCCCTCCGCCTCTCTCTTCTGGGTTTCCCCCTGGACCTCGCGCTACTTCTGTCGTTTTCCCTCTGTCTCTCTGTCTCTCTCTCTCTCTTTCTCTGTGCCTCTCTCTTTCTCAGCCTCTCTGTCTGTCTCCTTCCCTCTCGCCCTCCCCTGTCTCTCTCGATCGCTGTCTCTCTCCCTCCCTCGGTTTCTTATCTCCCATCCATCTCGTCCTTGCTCTCCTTCAAGCCGCGTGTGTGTGTGCGTGCGTGTGCGCGTGCGTGTGTGCGTGTGTGTCTGTGTGTGTGTGTGTGTGCGTGTGTGTCCGCGCGCGCGCGTGCGAGCGCGCCCGGGTGTGTCTGTGTGTGGGGGAGTGGATTTGCTCCTGGTGGCGGTGGGGTGTGTCTGGGTTTCTCTCAGGCCCTCTCACCCGAGATCAGGCCGCCGCCTCTAGTGCCAGCCCGGGGCAAAACAGGGCCACCCCCCGACCCGCTACACCCCACGCCCTCTTGCCCCCCCGGCCGGGTCTTGGTCGGGACAAGCGACCGTGGTGGGGGCGTTGTGAGAGAAAGGCCCCGCGCGGCTGGGCCGGCTGTTCGCCTTCGGCCAGCCCTGACGGCTCTGGGTGGGTGGGGGCAAGAGGGGGCCTCGCAGGAGCCCCTGTGCGGCGAGGGATCCAAAACGCTGCCTCCGCGACAGGGCGGAGGACCGGAGGGCGTCCCAGGATCGTGGGCCCTGGGCCCTGACGCCTCGGAGCACTCCCTGCTCCGAGCGGGCCCGATGTGGTGGAAGCTCGGGAGCGCGGGAGCCGGGGGAAGGCCGCGGGCCAGCGGCTCGGGGGTCCCCGATCCGAGCCCCGCGGCCCCGGGCTGGCGGTGTCGGCTGCAATCCGGCGGGCACGGCCGGGCCGGGCTGGGCTCTTGGGGCAGCCAGGCGCCTCCTTCAGCGTCTACGGCCATACCACCCTGAACGCGCCCGATCTCGTCTGATCTCGGAAGCTAAGCAGGGTCGGGCCTGGTTAGTACTTGGATGGGAGACCGCCTGGGAATACCGGGTGCTGTAGGCTTTTTCTTTGGCTTTTTGCTGTTTCTTTCCTTTTCTTCCAGACGGAGTCTCGCCCTGTCGCCCAGGCTGGAGTGCAGTGGCGCCATCTCGGCTCACTGCAAGCTCCGCCTCCCGGGTTCACGCCATTCCCCGGCCTCAGCCTCCCGAGTAGCTGGGCCTACAGGCGCCCGCCACCACGCCCGGCTACTTTGTTCTATTTTTCCTAGAGACGGGCTTTCACCCTGTTAGCCGGGATGGTCTGGAGCTCCTGACCTCGTGATCCACCCGCCTCGGCCTCCCAGAGTGCTGGGATTACAGGCGCGAGCCACCGCGCCCGCCCGGCCTGCTGTAGGCTTTTGTGGCTTCCCCGCTGCCTCCCTTCCCCCCACAGTCGCCATGCTTCCCAACCTCCCCTGACTCTGCTCCCCCTTTACCGCCCACCTACACCCCCGCCGCAGCCGCAGCCGGGGTCCTCCTGCTGGGGGTCCGCCCCTACTGCACGCAGGCCGGGCAGCAGCATCCCACCGCTTCCGCCTCGCCGCCGCCCCGCCAGGAGCCCGGCTCCAGCCTGGGAGGGCAGGGGGCCGGACCCCAAAGGCGCAGCCGCTGGGTTCCCTGCCGTTCGCGATGCCTTCCCGCTCCCGGAACGCCCAGGCGATTCAATTCACCCATCGGGCGCCGTCGTCGCACCCTTCCAAACCGGGGGAAGGGGCGGGCAGGGGCAGCGGGTGCCACAGACGCCAGCCAAGACGTCGGCTCCCGAACGCATGGGCTGCTTTACCCGGGGGAAGGACATTGCTTCGCCAGCCACCGGGAAAACAGGCCCTGTGCACCCGGGATTCCCAATGCCCCCCGCTTCGTGTCGACGACTCCAGTCCCGAGGACTCGCCAGAGACCCAGGCCTCCGGGCCCGCCCGGTGCCACGGCTCCCGCCAAACGGGCGGGCGCGCTCTGCAAATCTCGGGGCCCGCCGCAAGGCACCCAGAGCACAGGGAGGTGCCAAGAAAGGCAGGAGCCTACGAAACCCACCTCCAAAGCAAGCAATTCATCCAAGAAAACGCCCGCCTCAGCGCTCCGTTGGTCCTCTCGCACGGACCGCCTGGCCCCCGTGTTCTGGGCGCAGCCCAAGCCCCCTCCACCCTATCCCGGCCTGCTCAAGAGGGCGCTGCCTAACGGAGCCGGGCGCTTCCTCTCTAAGGCTCTATCGCTCTCGCTCTCTAGCTCCCTCCGCCTCTCTCTTCTGGGTTTCCCCCTGGACCTCGCGCTACTTCTGTCGTTTTCCCTCTGTCTCTCTGTCTCTCTCTCTCTCTTTCTCTGTGCCTCTCTCTTTCTCAGCCTCTCTGTCTGTCTCCTTCCCTCTCGCCCTCCCCTGTCTCTCTCGATCGCTGTCTCTCTCCCTCCCTCGGTTTCTATCTCTCCATCCATCTCGTCCTTGCTCTCCTTCAAGCCGCGTGTGTGTGTGCGTGCGTGTGCGCGTGCGTGTGTGCGTGTGTGTCTGTGTGTGTGTGTGTGTGCGTGTGTGTCCGCGCGCGCGCGTGCGAGCGCCCCGGGTGTGTCTGTGTGTGGGGGAGTGGATTTGCTCCTGGTGGCGGTGGGGTGTGTCTGGGTTTCTCTCAGGCCCTCTCACCCGAGATCAGGCCGCCGCCTCTAGTGCCAGCCCGGGGCAAAACAGGGCCACCCCCCGACCCGCTACACCCCACGCCCTCTTGCCCCCCGGCCGGGTCTTGGTCGGGACAAGCGACCGTGGTGGGGGCGTTGTGAGAGAAAGGCCCCGCGCGGCTGGGCCGGCTGTTCGCCTTCGGCCAGCCCTGACGGCTCTGGGTGGGTGGGGCAAGAGGGGGCCTCGCAGGAGCCCCTGTGCGGCGAGGGATCCAAAACGCTGCCTCCGCGACAGGGCGGAGGACCGGAGGGCGTCCCAGGATCGTGGGCCCTGGGCCCTGACGCCTCGGAGCACTCCCTGCTCCGAGCGGGCCCGATGTGGTGGAAGCTCGGGAGCGCGGGAGCCGGGGGAAGGCCGCGGGCCAGCGGCTCGGGGGTCCCCGATCCGAGCCCCGCGGCCCCGGGCTGGCGGTGTCGGCTGCAATCCGGCGGGCACGGCCGGGCCGGGCTGGGCTCTTGGGGCAGCCAGGCGCCTCCTTCAGCGTCTACGGCCATACCACCCTGAACGCGCCCGATCTCGTCTGATCTCGGAAGCTAAGCAGGGTCGGGCCTGGTTAGTACTTGGATGGGAGACCGCCTGGGAATACCGGGTGCTGTAGGCTTTTTCTTTGGCTTTTTGCTGTTTTTCCTTTTCTTCCAGACGGAGTCTCGCCCTGTCGCCCAGGCTGGAGTGCAGTGGCGCCATCTCGGCTCACTGCAAGCTCCGCCTCCCGGGTTCACGCCATTCCCCGGCCTCAGCCTCCCGAGTAGCTGGGCCTACAGGCGCCCGCCACCACGCCCGGCTACTTTGTTCTATTTTTCCTAGAGACGGGCTTTCACCCTGTTAGCCGGGATGGTCTGGAGCTCCTGACCTCGTGATCCACCCGCCTCGGCCTCCCAGAGTGCTGGGATTACAGGCGCGAGCCACCGCGCCCGCCCGGCCTGCTGTAGGCTTTTGTGGCTTCCCCGCTGCCTCCCTTCCCCCCACAGTCGCCATGCTTCCCAACCTCCCCTGACTCTGCTCCCCTTTACCGCCCACCTACACCCCCGCCGCAGCCGCAGCCGGGGTCCTCCTGCTGGGGGTCCGCCCCTACTGCACGCCGGCCGGGCAGCAGCATCCCACCGCTTCCGCCTCGCCGCCGCCCCGCCAGGAGCCCGGCTCCAGCCTGGGAGGGCAGGGGGCCGGACCCCAAAGGCGCAGCCGCTGGGTTCCCTGCCGTTCGCGGTGCCTTCCCGCTCCCGGAACGCCCAGGCGATTCAATTCACCCATCGGGCGCCGTCGTCGCACCCTTCCAAACCGGGGGAAGGGGCGGGCAGGGGCAGCGGGTGCCACAGACGCCAGCCAAGACGTCGGCTCCGGAACGCATGGGCTGCTTTACCCGGGGGAAGGACATTGCTTCGCCAGCCACCGGGAAAACAGGCCCTGTGCACCCGGGATTCCCAATGCCCCCCGCTTCGTGTCGACGACTCCAGTCCCGAGGACTCGCCAGAGACCCAGGCCTCCGGGCCCGCCCGGTGCCACGGCTCCCGCCAAACGGGCGGGCGCGCTCTGCAAATCTCGGGGCCCGCCGCAAGGCACCCAGAGCACAGGGAGGTGCCAAGAAAGGCAGGAGCCTACGAAACCCACCTCCAAAGCAAGCAATTCATCCAAGAAAACGCCCGCCTCAGCGCTCCGTTGGTCCTCTCGCACGGACCGCCTGGCCCCCGTGTTCTGGGCGCAGCCCAAGCCCCCTCCACCCTATCCCGGCCTGCTCAAGAGGGCGCTGCCTAACGGAGCCGGGCGCTTCCTCTCTAAGGCTCTATCGCTCTCGCTCTCTAGCTCCCTCCGCCTCTCTCTTCTGGGTTTCCCCCTGGACCTCGCGCTACTTTTGTCGTTTTCCCTCTGTCTCTCTGTCTCTCTCTCTCTCTTTCTCTGTGCCTCTCTCTTTCTCAGCCTCTCTGTCTGTCTCCTTCCCTCTCGCCCTCCCCTGTCTCTCTCGATCGCTGTCTCTCTCCCTCCCTCGGTTTCTATCTCTCCATCCATCTCGTCCTTGCTCTCCTTCAAGCCGCGTGTGTGTGTGCGTGCGTGTGCGCGTGCGTGTGTGCGTGTGTGTCTGTGTGTGTGTGTGTGCGTGTGTGTCCGCGCGCGCGCGTGCGAGCGCGCCCGGGTGTGTCTGTGTGTGGGGGAGTGGATTTGCTCCTGGTGGCGGTGGGTGTGTCTGGGTTTCTCTCAGGCCCTCTCACCCGAGATCAGGCCGCCGCCTCTAGTGCCAGCCCGGGGCAAAACAGGGCCACCCCCCGACCCGCTACACCCCACGCCCTCTTGCCCCCCGGCCGGGTCTTGGTCGGGACAAGCGACCGTGGTGGGGGCGTTGTGAGAGAAAGGCCCCGCGGCTGGGCCGGCTGTTCGCCTTCGGCCAGCCCTGACGGCTCTGGGTGGGTGGGGCAAGAGGGGGCCTCGCAGGAGCCCCTGTGCGGCGAGGGATCCAAAACGCTGCCTCCGCGACAGGGCGGAGGACCGGAGGGCGTCCCAGGATCGTGGGCCCTGGGCCCTGACGCCTCGGAGCACTCCCTGCTCCGAGCGGGCCCGATGTGGTGGAAGCTCGGGAGCGCGGGAGCCGGGGGAAGGCCGCGGGCCAGCGGCTCGGGGGTCCCCGATCCGAGCCCCGCGGCCCCGGGCTGGCGGTGTCGGCTGCAATCCGGCGGGCACGGCCGGGCCGGGCTGGGCTCTTGGGGCAGCCAGGCGCCTCCTTCAGCGTCTACGGCCATACCACCCTGAACGCGCCCGATCTCGTCTGATCTCGGAAGCTAAGCAGGGTCGGGCCTGGTTAGTACTTGGATGGGAGACCGCCTGGGAATACCGGGTGCTGTAGGCTTTTTCTTTGGCTTTTTGCTGTTTCTTTCCTTTTCTTCCAGACGGAGTCTCGCCCTGTCGCCCAGGCTGGAGTGCAGTGGCGCCATCTCGCTCACTGCAAGCTCCGCCTCCCGGGTTCACGCCATTCCCCGGCCTCAGCCTCCCGAGTAGCTGGGCCTACAGGCGCCCGCCACCACGCCCGGCTACTTTGTTCTATTTTTCCTAGAGACGGGCTTTCACCCTGTTAGCCGGGATGGTCTGGAGCTCCTGACCTCGTGATCCACCCGCCTCGGCCTCCCAGAGTGCTGGGATTACAGGCGCGAGCCACCGCGCCCGCCCGGCCTGCTGTAGGCTTTTGTGGCTTCCCCGCTGCCTCCCTTCCCCCCACAGTCGCCATGCTTCCCAACCTCCCCTGACTCTGCTCCCCTTTACCGCCCACCTACACCCCCGCCGCAGCCGCAGCCGGGGTCCTCCTGCTGGGGGTCCGCCCCTACTGCACGCCGGCCGGGCAGCAGCATCCCACCGCTTCCGCCTCGCCGCCCCGCCAGGAGCCCGGCTCCAGCCTGGGAGGGCAGGGGGCCGGACCCCAAAGGCGCAGCCGCTGGGTTCCCTGCCGTTCGCGGTGCCTTCCCGCTCCCGGAACGCCCAGGCGATTCAATTCACCCATCGGGCGCCGTCGTCGCACCCTTCCAAACCGGGGGAAGGGGCGGGCAGGGGCAGCGGGTGCCACAGACGCCAGCCAAGACGTCGGCTCCGGAACGCATGGGCTGCTTTACCCGGGGGAAGGACATTGCTTCGCCAGCCACCGGGAAAACAGGCCCTGTGCACCCGGGATTCCCAATGCCCCCCGCTTCGTGTCGACGACTCCAGTCCCGAGGACTCGCCAGAGACCCAGGCCTCCGGGCCCGCCCGGTGCCACGGCTCCCGCCAAACGGGCGGGCGCGCTCTGCAAATCTCGGGGCCCGCCGCAAGGCACCCAGAGCACAGGGAGGTGCCAAGAAAGGCAGGAGCCTACGAACCCACCTCCAAAGCAAGCAATTCATCCAAGAAAACGCCCGCCTCAGCGCTCCGTTGGTCCTCTCGCACGGACCGCCTGGCCCCCGTGTTCTGGGCGCAGCCCAAGCCCCCTCCACCCTATCCCGGCCTGCTCAAGAGGGCGCTGCCTAACGGAGCCGGGCGCTTCCTCTCTAAGGCTCTATCGCTCTCGCTCTCTAGCTCCCTCCGCCTCTCTCTTCTGGGTTTCCCCCTGGACCGCGCTACTTCTGTCGTTTTCCCTCTGTCTCTCTGTCTCTCTCTCTCTCTTTCTCTGTGCCTCTCTCTTTCTCAGCCTCTCTGTCTGTCTCCTTCCCTCTCGCCCTCCCCTGTCTCTCTCGATCGCTGTCTCTCTCCCTCCCTCGGTTTCTATCTCTCCATCCATCTCGTCCTTGCTCTCCTTCAAGCCGCGTGTGTGTGTGCGTGCGTGTGCGCGTGCGTGTGTGCGTGTGTGTCTGTGTGTGTGTGTGTGTGCGTGTGTGTCCGCGCGCGCGCGTGCGAGCGCGCCCGGGTGTGTCTGTGTGTGGGGGAGTGGATTTGCTCCTGGTGGCGGTGGGGTGTGTCTGGGTTTCTCTCAGGCCCTCTCACCCGAGATCAGGCCGCCGCCTCTAGTGCCAGCCCGGGGCAAAACAGGGCCACCCCCGACCCGCTACACCCCCGCCCTCTTGCCCCCCCGGCCGGGTCTTGGTCGGGACAAGCGACCGTGGTGGGGCGTTGTGAGAGAAAGGCCCCGCGCGGCTGGGCCGGCTGTTCGCCTTCGGCCAGCCCTGACGGCTCTGGGTGGGTGGGGCAAGAGGGGGCCTCGCAGGAGCCCCTGTGCGGCGAGGGATCCAAAACGCTGCCTCCGCGACAGGGCGGAGGACCGGAGGGCGTCCCAGGATCGTGGGCCCTGGGCCCTGACGCCTCGGAGCACTCCCTGCTCCGAGCGGGCCCGATGTGGTGGAAGCTCGGGAGCGCGGGAGCCGGGGGAAGGCCGCGGGCCAGCGGCTCGGGGGTCCCCGATCCGAGCCCCGCGGCCCCGGGCTGGCGGTGTCGGCTGCAATCCGGCGGGCACGGCCGGGCCGGGCTGGGCTCTTGGGGCAGCCAGGCGCCTCTTCAGCGTCTACGGCCATACCACCCTGAACGCGCCCGATCTCGTCTGATCTCGGAAGCTAAGCAGGGTCGGGCCTGGTTAGTACTTGGATGGGAGACCGCCTGGGAATACCGGGTGCTGTAGGCTTTTTCTTTGGCTTTTTGCTGTTTCTTTCCTTTTCTTCCAGACGGAGTCTCGCCCTGTCGCCCAGGCTGGAGTGCAGTGGCGCCATCTCGGCTCACTGCAAGCTCCGCCTCCCGGGTTCACGCCATTCCCCGGCCTCAGCCTCCCGAGTAGCTGGGCCTACAGGCGCCCGCCACCACGCCCGGCTACTTTGTTCTATTTTTCCTAGAGACGGGCTTTCACCCTGTTAGCCGGGATGGTCTGGAGCTCCTGACCTCGTGATCCACCCGCCTCGGCCTCCAGAGTGCTGGGATTACAGGCGCGAGCCACCGCGCCCGCCCGGCCTGCTGTAGGCTTTTGTGGCTTCCCCGCTGCCTCCCTTCCCCCCACAGTCGCCATGCTTCCCAACCTCCCCTGACTCTGCTCCCCCTTTACCGCCCACCTACACCCCGCCGCAGCCGCAGCCGGGGTCCTCCTGCTGGGGGTCCGCCCCTACTGCACGCCGGCCGGGCAGCAGCATCCCACCGCTTCCGCCTCGCCGCCCCCCAGGAGCCCGGCTCCAGCCTGGGAGGGCAGGGGGCCGGACCCCAAAGGCGCAGCCGCTGGGTTCCCTGCCGTTCGCGGTGCCTTCCCGCTCCCGGAACGCCCAGGCGATTCAATTCACCCCATCGGGCGCCGTCGTCGCACCCTTCCAAACCGGGGGAAGGGGCGGGCAGGGGCAGCGGGTGCCACAGACGCCAGCCAAGACGTCGGCTCCGGAACGCATGGGCTGCTTTACCCGGGGGAAGGACATTGCTTCGCCAGCCACCGGGAAAACAGGCCCTGTGCACCCGGGATTCCCAATGCCCCCCGCTTCGTGTCGACGACTCCAGTCCCGAGGACTCGCCAGAGACCCAGGCCTCCGGGCCCGCCCGGTGCCACGGCTCCCGCCAAACGGGCGGGCGCGCTCTGCAAATCTCGGGGCCCGCCGCAAGGCACCCAGAGCACAGGGAGGTGCCAAGAAAGGCAGGAGCCTACGAAACCCACCTCCAAAGCAAGCAATTCATCCAAGAAAACGCCCGCCTCAGCGCTCCGTTGGTCCTCTCGCACGGACCGCCTGGCCCCCGTGTTCTGGGCGCAGCCCAAGCCCCCTCCACCCTATCCCGGCCTGCTCAAGAGGGCGCTGCCTAACGGAGCCGGGCGCTTCCTCTCTAAGGCTCTATCGCTCTCGCTCTCTAGCTCCCTCCGCCTCTCTCTTCTGGGTTTCCCCCTGGACCTCGCGCTACTTCTGTCGTTTTCCCTCTGTCTCTCTGTCTCTCTCTCTCTCTTTCTCTGTGCCTCTCTCTTTCTCAGCCTCTCTGTCTGTCTCCTTCCCTCTCGCCCTCCCCTGTCTCTCTCGATCGCTGTCTCTCTCCCTCCCTCGGTTTCTATCTCTCCATCCATCTCGTCCTTGCTCTCCTTCAAGCCGCGTGTGTGTGTGCGTGCGTGTGCGCGTGCGTGTGTGCGTGTGTGTCTGTGTGTGTGTGTGTGTGCGTGTGTGTCCGCGCGCGCGCGTGCGAGCGCGCCCGGGTGTGTCTGTGTGTGGGGGAGTGGATTTGCTCCTGGTGGCGGTGGGGTGTGTCTGGGTTTCTCTCAGGCCCTCTCACCCGAGATCAGGCCGCCGCCTCTAGTGCCAGCCCGGGGCAAAACAGGGCCACCCCCCGACCCGCTACACCCCACGCCCTTGCCCCCCCGGCCGGGTCTTGGTCGGGACAAGCGACCGTGGTGGGGGCGTTGTGAGAGAAAGGCCCCGCGCGGCTGGGCCGGCTGTTCGCCTTCGGCCAGCCCTGACGGCTCTGGGTGGGTGGGGCAAGAGGGGGCCTCGCAGGAGCCCCTGTGCGGCGAGGGATCCAAAACGCTGCCTCCGCGACAGGGCGGAGGACCGGAGGCGTCCCAGGGATCGTGGGCCCTGGGCCCTGACGCCTCGGAGCACTCCCTGCTCCGAGCGGGCCCGATGTGGTGGAAGCTCGGGAGCGCGGGAGCCGGGGGAAGGCCGCGGCCAGCGGCTCGGGGGTCCCCGATCCGAGCCCCGCGCCCCGGGCTGGCGGTGTCGGCTGCAATCCGGCGGGCACGGCCGGGCCGGGCTGGGCTCTTGGGGCAGCCAGGCGCCTCCTTCAGCGTCTACGGCCATACCACCCTGAACGCGCCCGATCTCGTCTGATCTCGGAAGCTAAGCAGGGTCGGGCCTGGTTAGTACTTGGATGGGAGACCGCCTGGGAATACCGGGTGCTGTAGGCTTTTTCTTTGGCTTTTTGCTGTTTCTTTCCTTTTCTTCCAGACGGAGTCTCGCCCTGTCGCCCAGGCTGGAGTGCAGTGGCGCCATCTCGGCTCACTGCAAGCTCCGCCTCCCGGGTTCACGCCATTCCCCGGCCTCAGCCTCCCGAGTAGCTGGGCCTACAGGCGCCCGCCACCACGCCCGGCTACTTTGTTCTATTTTTCCTAGAGACGGGCTTTCACCCTGTTAGCCGGGATGGTCTGGAGCTCCTGACCTCGTGATCCACCCGCCTCGGCCTCCCAGAGTGCTGGGATTACAGGCGCGAGCCACCGCGCCCGCCGGCCTGCTGTAGGCTTTTGTGGCTTCCCCGCTGCCTCCCTTCCCCCCAGTCGCCATGCTTCCCAACCTCCCCTGACTCTGCTCCCCCTTTACCGCCCACCTACACCCCCGCCGCAGCCGCAGCCGGGGTCCTCCTGCTGGGGGTCCGCCCCTACTGCACGCCGGCCGGGCAGCAGCATCCCACCGCTTCCGCCTCGCCGCCGCCCCGCCAGGAGCCCGGCTCCAGCCTGGGAGGGCAGGGGGCCGGACCCCAAAGGCGCAGCCGCTGGTTCCCTGCCGTTCGCGGTGCCTTCCCGCTCCCGGAACGCCCAGGCGATTCAATTCACCCATCGGGCGCCGTCGTCGCACCCTTCCAAACCGGGGGAAGGGGCGGGCAGGGGCAGCGGGTGCCACAGACGCCAGCCAAGACGTCGGCTCCGGAACGCATGGGCTGCTTTACCCGGGGGAAGGACATTGCTTCGCCAGCCACCGGGAAAACAGGCCCTGTGCACCCGGGATTCCCAATGCCCCCCGCTTCGTGTCGACGACTCCAGTCCCGAGGACTCGCCAGAGACCCAGGCCTCCGGGCCCGCCCGGTGCCACGGCTCCCGCCAAACGGGCGGGCGCGCTCTGCAAATCTCGGGGCCCGCCGCAAGGCACCCAGAGCACAGGGAGGTGCCAAGAAAGGCAGGAGCCTACGAAACCCACCTCCAAAGCAAGCAATTCATCCAAGAAAACGCCCGCCTCAGCGCTCCGTTGGTCCTCTCGCACGGACCGCCTGGCCCCCGTGTTCTGGGCGCAGCCCAAGCCCCCTCCACCCTATCCCGGCCTGCTCAAGAGGGCGCTGCCTAACGGAGCCGGGCGCTTCCTCTCTAAGGCTCTATCGCTCTCGCTCTCTAGCTCCCTCCGCCTCTCTCTTCTGGGTTTCCCCCTGGACCTCGCGCTACTTCTGTCGTTTTCCCTCTGTCTCTCTGTCTCTCTCTCTCTCTTTCTCTGTGCCTCTCTCTTTCTCAGCCTCTCTGTCTGTCTCCTTCCCTCTCGCCCTCCCCTGTCTCTCTCGATCGCTGTCTCTCTCCCTCCCTCGGTTTCTATCTCTCCATCCATCTCGTCCTTGCTCTCCTTCAAGCCGCGTGTGTGTGTGCGTGCGTGTGCGCGTGCGTGTGTGCGTGTGTGTCTGTGTGTGTGTGTGTGTGCGTGTGTGTCCGCGCGCGCGCGTGCGAGCGCGCCGGGTGTGTCTGTGTGTGGGGGAGTGGATTTGCTCCTGGTGGCGGTGGGGTGTGTCTGGGTTTCTCTCAGGCCCTCTCACCCGAGATCAGGCCGCCGCCTCTAGTGCCAGCCCGGGGCAAAACAGGGCCACCCCCCGACCCGCTACACCCCACGCCCTCTTGCCCCCCGGCCGGGTCTTGGTCGGGACAAGCGACCGTGGTGGGGGCGTTGTGAGAGAAAGGCCCCGCGCGGCTGGGCCGGCTGTTCGCCTTCGGCCAGCCCTGACGGCTCTGGGTGGGTGGGGCAAGAGGGGGCCTCGCAGGAGCCCCTGTGCGGCGAGGGATCCAAAACGCTGCCTCCGCGACAGGGCGGAGGACCGGAGGGCGTCCCAGGATCGTGGGCCCTGGGCCCTGACGCCTCGGAGCACTCCCTGCTCCGAGCGGGCCCGATGTGGTGGAAGCTCGGGAGCGCGGGAGCCGGGGGAAGGCCGCGGGCCAGCGGCTCGGGGGTCCCCGATCCGAGCCCCGCGGCCCCGGGCTGGCGGTGTCGGCTGCAATCCGGCGGGCACGGCCGGGCCGGGCTGGGCTCTTGGGGCAGCCAGGCGCCTCCTTCAGCGTCTACGGCCATACCACCCTGAACGCGCCCGATCTCGTCTGATCTCGGAAGCTAAGCAGGGTCGGGCCTGGTTAGTACTTGGATGGGAGACCGCCTGGGAATACCGGGTGCTGTAGGCTTTTTCTTTGGCTTTTTGCTGTTTCTTCCTTTTCTTCCAGACGGAGTCTCGCCCTGTCGCCCAGGCTGGAGTGCAGTGGCGCCATCTCGGCTCACTGCAAGCTCCGCCTCCCGGGTTCACGCCATTCCCCGGCCTCAGCCTCCCGAGTAGCTGGGCCTACAGGCGCCCGCCACCACGCCCGGCTACTTTGTTCTATTTTTCCTAGAGACGGGCTTTCACCCTGTTAGCCGGGATGGTCTGGAGCTCCTGACCTCGTGATCCACCCGCCTCGGCCTCCCAGAGTGCTGGGATTACAGGCGCGAGCCACCGCGCCCGCCCGGCCTGCTGTAGGCTTTTGTGGCTTCCCCGCTGCCTCCCTTCCCCCCACAGTCGCCATGCTTCCCAACCTCCCCTGACTCTGCTCCCCCTTTACCGCCCACCTACACCCCCGCCGCAGCCGCAGCCGGGGTCCTCCTGCTGGGGGTCCGCCCCTACTGCACGCCGGCCGGCAGCAGCATCCCACCGCTTCCGCCTCGCCGCCGCCCCGCCAGGAGCCCGGCTCCAGCCTGGGAGGGCAGGGGGCCGGACCCCAAAGGCGCAGCCGCTGGGTTCCCTGCCGTTCGCGGTGCCTTCCCGCTCCCGGAACGCCCAGGCGATTCAATTCACCCATCGGGCGCCGTCGTCGCACCCTTCCAAACCGGGGGAAGGGCGGGCAGGGGCAGCGGGTGCCACAGACGCCAGCCAAGACGTCGGCTCCGGAACGCATGGGCTGCTTTACCCGGGGGAAGGACATTGCTTCGCCAGCCACCGGGAAAACAGGCCCTGTGCACCCGGGATTCCCAATGCCCCCCGCTTCGTGTCGACGACTCCAGTCCCGAGGACTCGCCAGAGACCCAGGCCTCCGGGCCCGCCCGGTGCCACGGCTCCCGCCAAACGGGCGGGCGCGCTCTGCAAATCTCGGGGCCCGCCGCAAGGCACCCAGAGCACAGGGAGGTGCCAAGAAAGGCAGGAGCCTACGAAACCCACCTCCAAAGCAAGCAATTCATCCAAGAAAACGCCCGCCTCAGCGCTCCGTTGGTCCTCTCGCACGGACCGCCTGGCCCCCGTGTTCTGGGCGCAGCCCAAGCCCCCTCCACCCTATCCCGGCCTGCTCAAGAGGGCGCTGCCTAACGGAGCCGGGCGCTTCCTCTCTAAGGCTCTATCGCTCTCGCTCTCTAGCTCCCTCCGCCTCTCTCTTCTGGGTTTCCCCCTGGACGCTCGCTTCTGTCTGTCGTTTTCCCTCTGTCTCTCTGTCTCTCTCTCTCTCTTTCTCTGTGCCTCTCTCTTTCTCAGCCTCTCTGTCTGTCTCCTTCCCTCTCGCCCTCCCCTGTCTCTCTCGATCGCTGTCTCTCTCCCTCCCTCGGTTTCTATCTCTCCATCCATCTCGTCCTTGCTCTCCTTCAAGCCGCGTGTGTGTGTGCGTGCGTGTGCGCGTGCGTGTGTGCGTGTGTGTCTGTGTGTGTGTGTGTGTGCGTGTGTGTCCGCGCGCGCGCGTGCGAGCGCGCCCGGGTGTGTCTGTGTGTGGGGGAGTGGATTTGCTCCTGGTGGCGGTGGGGTGTGTCTGGGTTTCTCTCAGGCCCTCTCACCCGAGATCAGGCCGCCGCCTCTAGTGCCAGCCCGGGGCAAAACAGGGCCACCCCCCGACCCGCTACACCCACGCCTCTTGCCCCCCGGCCGGGTCTTGGTCGGGACAAGCGACCGTGGTGGGGGCGTTGTGAGAGAAAGGCCCGCGCGGCTGGGCCGGCTGTTCGCCTTCGGCCAGCCCTGACGGCTCTGGGTGGGTGGGGCAAGAGGGGGCCTCGCAGGAGCCCCTGTGCGGCGAGGGATCCAAAACGCTGCCTCCGCGACAGGGCGGAGGACCGGAGGGCGTCCCAGGATCGTGGGCCCTGGGCCCTGACGCCTCGGAGCACTCCCTGCTCCGAGCGGGCCCGATGTGGTGGAAGCTCGGGAGCGCGGGAGCCGGGGAAGGCCGCGGGCCAGCGGCTCGGGGGTCCCCGATCCGAGCCCCGCGGCCCCGGGCTGGCGGTGTCGGCTGCAATCCGGCGGGCACGGCCGGGCCGGGCTGGGCTCTTGGGGCAGCCAGGCGCCTCCTTCAGCGTCTACGGCCATACCACCCTGAACGCGCCCGATCTCGTCTGATCTCGGAAGCTAAGCAGGGTCGGGCCTGGTTAGTACTTGGATGGGAGACCGCCTGGGAATACCGGGTGCTGTAGGCTTTTTCTTTGGCTTTTTGCTGTTTCTTTCCTTTTCTTCCAGACGGAGTCTCGCCCTGTCGCCCAGGCTGGAGTGCAGTGGCGCCATCTCGGCTCACTGCAAGCTCCGCCTCCCGGGTTCACGCCATTCCCCGGCCTCAGCCTCCCGAGTAGCTGGGCCTACAGGCGCCCGCCACCACGCCCGGCTACTTTGTTCTATTTTTCCTAGAGACGGGCTTTCACCCTGTTAGCCGGGATGGTCTGGAGCTCCTGACCTCGTGATCCACCGCCTCGGCCTCCCAGAGTGCTGGGATTACAGGCGCGAGCCACCGCGCCCGCCCGGCCTGCTGTAGGCTTTTGTGGCTTCCCCGCTGCCTCCCTTCCCCCCAGTCGCCATGCTTCCCAACCTCCCCTGACTCTGCTCCCCTTTACCGCCCACCTACACCCCGCCGCAGCCGCAGCCGGGGTCCTCCTGCTGGGGGTCCGCCCTACTGCACGCCGGCCGGGCAGCAGCATCCCACCGCTTCCGCCTCGCCGCCGCCCCGCCAGGAGCCCGGCTCCAGCCTGGGAGGGCAGGGGGCCGGACCCCAAAGGCGCAGCCGCTGGGTTCCCTGCCGTTCGCGGTGCCTTCCCGCTCCCGGAACGCCCAGGCGATTCAATTCACCCATCGGGCGCCGTCGTCGCACCCTTCCAAACCGGGGGAAGGGGCGGGCAGGGGCAGCGGGTGCCACAGACGCCAGCCAAGACGTCGGCTCCGGAACGCATGGGCTGCTTTACCCGGGGGAAGGACATTGCTTCGCCAGCCACCGGGAAAACAGGCCCTGTGCACCCGGGATTCCCAATGCCCCCGCTTCGTGTCGACGACTCCAGTCCCGAGGACTCGCCAGAGACCCAGGCCTCCGGGCCCGCCCGGTGCCACGGCTCCCGCCAAACGGGCGGGCGCGCTCTGCAAATCTCGGGCCCGCCGCAAGGCACCCAGAGCACAGGGAGGTGCCAAGAAAGGCAGGAGCCTACGAAACCCACCTCCAAAGCAAGCAATTCATCCAAGAAAACGCCCGCCTCAGCGCTCCGTTGGTCCTCTCGCACGGACCGCCTGGCCCCCGTGTTCTGGGCGCAGCCCAAGCCCCCTCCACCCTATCCCGGCCTGCTCAAGAGGGCGCTGCCTAACGGAGCCGGGCGCTTCCTCTCTAAGGCTCTATCGCTCTCGCTCTCTAGCTCCCTCCGCCTCTCTCTTCTGGGTTCCCCCTGGACCTCGCGCTACTTCTGTCGTTTTCCCTCTGTCTCTCTGTCTCTCTCTCTCTCTTTCTCTGTGCCTCTCTCTTTCTCAGCCTCTCTGTCTGTCTCCTTCCCTCTCGCCCTCCCCTGTCTCTCTCGATCGCTGTCTCTCTCCCTCCCTCGGTTTCTATCTCTCCATCCATCTCGTCCTTGCTCTCCTTCAAGCCGCGTGTGTGTGTGCGTGCGTGTGCGCGTGCGTGTGTGCGTGTGTGTCTGTGTGTGTGTGTGTGTGCGTGTGTGTCCGCGCGCGCGCGTGCGAGCGCGCCCGGGTGTGTCTGTGTGTGGGGGAGTGGATTTGCTCCTGGTGGCGGTGGGGTGTGTCTGGGTTTCTCTCAGGCCCTCTCACCCGAGATCAGGCCGCCGCCTCTAGTGCCAGCCCGGGGCAAAACAGGGCCACCCCCCGACCCGCTACACCCCACGCCCTCTTGCCCCCCGGCCGGGTCTTGGTCGGGACAAGCGACCGTGGTGGGGGCGTTGTGAGAGAAAGGCCCCGCGCGGCTGGGCCGGCTGTTCGCCTTCGGCCAGCCCTGACGGCTCTGGGTGGGTGGGGCAAGAGGGGGCCTCGCAGGAGCCCCTGTGCGGCGAGGGATCCAAAACGCTGCCTCCGCGACAGGGCGGAGGACCGGAGGGCGTCCCAGGATCGTGGGCCCTGGGCCCTGACGCCTCGGAGCACTCCCTGCTCCGAGCGGGCCCGATGTGGTGGAAGCTCGGGAGCGCGGGAGCCGGGGGAAGGCCGCGGGCCAGCGGCTCGGGGGTCCCCGATCCGAGCCCCGCGGCCCCGGGCTGGCGGTGTCGGCTGCAATCCGGCGGGCACGGCCGGGCCGGGCTGGGCTCTTGGGGCAGCCAGGCGCCTCCTTCAGCGTCTACGGCCATACCACCCTGAACGCGCCCGATCTCGTCTGATCTCGGAAGCTAAGCAGGGTCGGGCCTGGTTAGTACTTGGATGGGAGACCGCCTGGGAATACCGGGTGCTGTAGGCTTTTTCTTTGGCTTTTTGCTGTTTCTTTCCTTTTCTTCCAGACGGAGTCTCGCCCTGTCGCCCAGGCTGGAGTGCAGTGGCGCCATCTCGGCTCACTGCAAGCTCCGCCTCCCGGGTTCACGCCATTCCCCGGCCTCAGCCTCCCGAGTAGCTGGGCCTACAGGCGCCCGCCACCACGCCCGGCTACTTTGTTCTATTTTTCCTAGAGACGGGCTTTCACCCTGTTAGCCGGGATGGTCTGGAGCTCCTGACCTCGTGATCCACCCGCCTCGGCCTCCCAGAGTGCTGGGATTACAGGCGCGAGCCACCGCGCCCGCCCGGCCTGCTGTAGGCTTTTGTGGCTTCCCCGCTGCCTCCCTTCCCCCCACAGTCGCCATGCTTCCCAACCTCCCCTGACTCTGCTCCCCCTTTACCGCCCACCTACACCCCGCCGCAGCCGCAGCCGGGTCCTCCTGCTGGGGGTCCGCCCCTACTGCACGCCGGCCGGGCAGCAGCATCCCACCGCTTCCGCCTCGCCGCCGCCCCGCCAGGAGCCCGGCTCCAGCCTGGGAGGGCAGGGGGCCGGACCCCAAAGGCGCAGCCGCTGGGTTCCCTGCCGTTCGCGGTGCCTTCCCGCTCCCGGAACGCCCAGGCGATTCAATTCACCCATCGGGCGCCGTCGTCGCACCCTTCCAAACCGGGGGAAGGGGCGGGCAGGGGCAGCGGGTGCCACAGACGCCAGCCAAGACGTCGGCTCCGGAACGCATGGGCTGCTTTACCCGGGGGAAGGACATTGCTTCGCCAGCCACCGGGAAAACAGGCCCTGTGCACCCGGGATTCCCAATGCCCCCCGCTTCGTGTCGACGACTCCAGTCCCGAGGACTCGCCAGAGACCCAGGCCTCCGGGCCCGCCCGGTGCCACGGCTCCCGCCAAACGGGCGGGCGCGCTCTGCAAATCTCGGGGCCCGCCGCAAGGCACCCAGAGCACAGGGAGGTGCCAAGAAAGGCAGGAGCCTACGAAACCCACCTCCAAAGCAAGCAATTCATCCAAGAAAACGCCCGCCTCAGCGCTCCGTTGGTCCTCTCGCACGGACCGCCTGGCCCCCGTGTTCTGGGCGCAGCCCAAGCCCCCTCCACCCTATCCCGGCCTGCTCAAGAGGGCGCTGCCTAACGGAGCCGGGCGCTTCCTCTCTAAGGCTCTATCGCTCTCGCTCTCTAGCTCCCTCCGCCTCTCTCTTCTGGGTTTCCCCCTGGACCTCGCGCTACTTCTGTCGTTTTCCCTCTGTCTCTCTGTCTCTCTCTCTCTCTTTCTCTGTGCCTCTCTCTTTCTCAGCCTCTCTGTCTGTCTCCTTCCCTCTCGCCCTCCCCTGTCTCTCTCGATCGCTGTCTCTCTCCCTCCCTCGGTTTCTATCTCTCCATCCATCTCGTCCTTGCTCTCCTTCAAGCCGCGTGTGTGTGTGCGTGCGTGTGCGCGTGCGTGTGTGCGTGTGTGTCTGTGTGTGTGTGTGTGTGCGTGTGTGTCCGCGCGCGCGCGTGCGAGCGCGCCCGGGTGTGTCTGTGTGTGGGGGAGTGGATTTGCTCCTGGTGGCGGTGGGGTGTGTCTGGGTTTCTCTCAGGCCCTCTCACCCGAGATCAGGCCGCCGCCTCTAGTGCCAGCCCGGGGCAAAACAGGGCCACCCCCCGACCCGCTACACCCCACGCCCTCTTGCCCCCCGGCCGGGTCTTGGTCGGGACAAGCGACCGTGGTGGGGGCGTTGTGAGAGAAAGGCCCCGCGCGGCTGGGCCGGCTGTTCGCCTTCGGCCAGCCCTGACGGCTCTGGGTGGGTGGGGCAAGAGGGGGCCTCGCAGGAGCCCCTGTGCGGCGAGGGATCCAAAACGCTGCCTCCGCGACAGGGCGGAGGACCGGAGGGCGTCCCAGGATCGTGGGCCCTGGGCCCTGACGCCTCGGAGCACTCCCTGCTCCGAGCGGGCCCGATGTGGTGGAAGCTCGGGAGCGCGGGAGCCGGGGGAAGGCCGCGGGCCAGCGGCTCGGGGGTCCCCGATCCGAGCCCCGCGGCCCCGGGCTGGCGGTGTCGGCTGCAATCCGGCGGGCACGGCCGGGCCGGGCTGGGCTCTTGGGGCAGCCAGGCGCCTCCTTCAGCGTCTACGGCCATACCACCCTGAACGCGCCCCGATCTCGTCTGATCTCGGAAGCTAAGCAGGGTCGGGCCTGGTTAGTACTTGGATGGGAGACCGCCTGGGAATACCGGGTGCTGTAGGCTTTTTCTTTGGCTTTTTGCTGTTTCTTTCCTTTTCTTCCAGACGGAGTCTCGCCCTGTCGCCCAGGCTGGAGTGCAGTGGCGCCATCTCGGCTCACTGCAAGCTCCGCCTCCCGGGTTCACGCCATTCCCCGGCCTCAGCCTCCCGAGTAGCTGGGCCTACAGGCGCCCGCCACCACGCCCGGCTACTTTGTTCTATTTTTCCTAGAGACGGGCTTTCACCCTGTTAGCCGGGATGGTCTGGAGCTCCTGACCTCGTGATCCACCCGCCTCGGCCTCCCAGAGTGCTGGGATTACAGGCGCGAGCCACCGCGCCCGCCCGGCCTGCTGTAGGCTTTTGTGGCTTCCCCGCTGCCTCCCTTCCCCCCACAGTCGCCATGCTTCCCAACCTCCCCTGACTCTGCTCCCCTTTACCGCCCACCTACACCCCCGCCGCAGCCGCAGCCGGGGTCCTCCTGCTGGGGGTCCGCCCCTACTGCACGCCGGCCGGGCAGCAGCATCCCACCGCTTCCGCCTCGCCGCCGCCCCGCCAGGAGCCCGGCTCCAGCCTGGGAGGGCAGGGGGCCGGACCCCAAAGGCGCAGCCGCTGGGTTCCCTGCCGTTCGCGGTGCCTTCCCGCTCCCGGAACGCCCAGGCGATTCAATTCACCCATCGGGCGCCGTCGTCGCACCCTTCCAAACCGGGGGAAGGGGCGGGCAGGGGCAGCGGGTGCCACAGACGCCAGCCAAGACGTCGGCTCCGGAACGCATGGGCTGCTTTACCCGGGGGAAGGACATTGCTTCGCCAGCCACCGGGAAAACAGGCCCTGTGCACCCGGGATTCCCAATGCCCCCGCTTCGTGTCGACGACTCCAGTCCCGAGGACTCGCCAGAGACCCAGGCCTCCGGGCCCGCCCGGTGCCACGGCTCCCGCCAAACGGGCGGGCGCGCTCTGCAAATCTCGGGGCCCGCCGCAAGGCACCCAGAGCACAGGGAGGTGCCAAGAAAGGCAGGAGCCTACGAAACCCACCTCCAAAGCAAGCAATTCATCCAAGAAAACGCCCGCCTCAGCGCTCCGTTGGTCCTCTCGCACGGACCGCCTGGCCCCCGTGTTCTGGGCGCAGCCCAAGCCCCCTCCACCCTATCCCGGCCTGCTCAAGAGGGCGCTGCCTAACGGAGCCGGGCGCTTCCTCTCTAAGGCTCTATCGCTCTCGCTCTCTAGCTCCCTCCGCCTCTCTCTTCTGGGTTTCCCCCTGGACCTCGCGCTACTTCTGTCGTTTTCCCTCTGTCTCTCTGTCTCTCTCTCTCTCTTTCTCTGTGCCTCTCTCTTTCTCAGCCTCTCTGTCTGTCTCCTTCCCTCTCGCCCTCCCCTGTCTCTCTCGATCGCTGTCTCTCTCCCTCCCTCGGTTTCTATCTCTCCATCCATCTCGTCCTTGCTCTCCTTCAAGCCGCGTGTGTGTGTGCGTGCGTGTGCGCGTGCGTGTGTGCGTGTGTGTCTGTGTGTGTGTGTGTGTGCGTGTGTGTCCGCGCGCGCGCGTGCGAGCGCGCCCGGGTGTGTCTGTGTGTGGGGGAGTGGATTTGCTCCTGGTGGCGGTGGGGTGTGTCTGGGTTTCTCTCAGGCCCTCTCACCCGAGATCAGGCCGCCGCCTCTAGTGCCAGCCCGGGGCAAAACAGGGCCACCCCCCGACCCGCTACACCCCACGCCCTCTTGCCCCCCCGGCCGGGTCTTGGTCGGGACAAGCGACCGTGGTGGGGGCGTTGTGAGAGAAAGGCCCCGCGCGGCTGGGCCGGCTGTTCGCCTTCGGCCAGCCCTGACGGCTCTGGGTGGGTGGGGCAAGAGGGGGCCTCGCAGGAGCCCCTGTGCGGCGAGGGATCCAAAACGCTGCCTCCGCGACAGGGCGGAGGACCGGAGGGCGTCCCAGGATCGTGGGCCCTGGGCCCTGACGCCTCGGAGCACTCCCTGCTCCGAGCGGGGCCCGATGTGGTGGAAGCTCGGGAGCGCGGGAGCCGGGGGAAGGCCGCGGGCCAGCGGCTCGGGGGTCCCCGATCCGAGCCCCGCGGCCCCGGGCTGGCGGTGTCGGCTGCAATCCGGCGGGCACGGCCGGGCCGGGCTGGGCTCTTGGGGCAGCCAGGCGCCTCCTTCAGCGTCTACGGCCATACCACCCTGAACGCGCCCGATCTCGTCTGATCTCGGAAGCTAAGCAGGGTCGGGCCTGGTTAGTACTTGGATGGGAGACCGCCTGGGAATACCGGGTGCTGTAGGCTTTTTCTTTGGCTTTTTGCTGTTTCTTTCCTTTTCTTCCAGACGGAGTCTCGCCCTGTCGCCCAGGCTGGAGTGCAGTGGCGCCATCTCGGCTCACTGCAAGCTCCGCCTCCCGGGTTCACGCCATTCCCCGGCCTCAGCCTCCCGAGTAGCTGGGCCTACAGGCGCCCGCCACCACGCCCGGCTACTTTGTTCTATTTTTCCTAGAGACGGGCTTTCACCCTGTTAGCCGGGATGGTCTGGAGCTCCTGACCTCGTGATCCACCCGCCTCGGCCTCCCAGAGTGCTGGGATTACAGGCGCGAGCCACCGCGCCCGCCCGGCCTGCTGTAGGCTTTTGTGGCTTCCCCGCTGCCTCCCTTCCCCCCACAGTCGCCATGCTTCCCAACCTCCCCTGACTCTGCTCCGCCTTTACCGCCCACCTACACCCCCGCCGCAGCCGCAGCCGGGGTCCTCCTGCTGGGGGTCCGCCCTACTGCACGCCGGCCGGGCAGCAGCATCCCACCGCTTCCGCCTCGCCGCCGCCCCGCCAGGAGCCCGGCTCCAGCCTGGGAGGGCAGGGGGCCGGACCCCAAAGGCGCAGCCGCTGGGTTCCCTGCCGTTCGCGGTGCCTTCCCGCTCCCGGAACGCCCAGGCGATTCAATTCACCCATCGGGCGCCGTCGTCGCACCCTTCCAAACCGGGGGAAGGGGCGGGCAGGGGCAGCGGGTGCCACAGACGCCAGCCAAGACGTCGGCTCCGGAACGCATGGGCTGCTTTACCCGGGGAAGGACATTGCTTCGCCAGCCACCGGGAAAACAGGCCCTGTGCACCCGGGATTCCCAATGCCCCCCGCTTCGTGTCGACGACTCCAGTCCCGAGGACTCGCCAGAGACCCAGGCCTCCGGGCCCGCCCGGTGCCACGGCTCCCGCCAAACGGGCGGGCGCGCTCTGCAAATCTCGGGGCCCGCCGCAAGGCACCCAGAGCACAGGGAGGTGCCAAGAAAGGCAGGAGCCTACGAAACCCACCTCCAAAGCAAGCAATTCATCCAAGAAAACGCCCGCCTCAGCGCTCCGTTGGTCCTCTCGCACGGACCGCCTGGCCCCCGTGTTCTGGGCGCAGCCCAAGCCCCCTCCACCCTATCCCGGCCTGCTCAAGAGGGCGCTGCCTAACGGAGCCGGGCGCTTCCTCTCTAAGGCTCTATCGCTCTCGCTCTCTAGCTCCCTCCGCCTCTCTCTTCTGGGTTTCCCCCTGGACCTCGCGCTACTTCTGTCGTTTTCCCTCTGTCTCTCTGTCTCTCTCTCTCTCTTTCTCTGTGCCTCTCTCTTTCTCAGCCTCTCTGTCTGTCTCCTTCCCTCTCGCCCTCCCCTGTCTCTCTCGATCGCTGTCTCTCTCCCTCCCTCGGTTTCTATCTCTCCATCCATCTCGTCCTTGCTCTCCTTCAAGCCGCGTGTGTGTGTGCGTGCGTGTGCGCGTGCGTGTGTGCGTGTGTGTCTGTGTGTGTGTGTGTGTGCGTGTGTGTCCGCGCGCGCGCGTGCGAGCGCGCCCGGGTGTGTCTGTGTGTGGGGGAGTGGATTTGCTCCTGGTGGCGGTGGGGTGTGTCTGGGTTTCTCTCAGGCCCTCTCACCCGAGATCAGGCCGCCGCCTCTAGTGCCAGCCCGGGGCAAAACAGGGCCACCCCCCGACCCGCTACACCCCACGCCCTCTTGCCCCCCGGCCGGGTCTTGGTCGGGACAAGCGACCGTGGTGGGGGCGTTGTGAGAGAAAGGCCCCGCGCGGCTGGGCCGGCTGTTCGCCTTCGGCCAGCCCTGACGGCTCTGGGTGGGTGGGGCAAGAGGGGGCCTCGCAGGAGCCCCTGTGCGGCGAGGGATCCAAAACGCTGCCTCCGCGACAGGGCGGAGGACCGGAGGGCGTCCCAGGATCGTGGGCCCTGGGCCCTGACGCCTCGGAGCACTCCCTGCTCCGAGCGGGCCCGATGTGGTGGAAGCTCGGGAGCGCGGGAGCCGGGGGAAGGCCGCGGGCCAGCGGCTCGGGGGTCCCCGATCCGAGCCCCGCGGCCCCGGGCTGGCGGTGTCGGCTGCAATCCGGCGGGCACGGCCGGGCCGGGCTGGGCTCTTGGGGCAGCCAGGCGCCTCCTTCAGCGTCTACGGCCATACCACCCTGAACGCGCCCGATCTCGTCTGATCTCGGAAGCTAAGCAGGGTCGGGCCTGGTTAGTACTTGGATGGGAGACCGCCTGGGAATACCGGGTGCTGTAGGCTTTTTCTTTGGCTTTTTGCTGTTTCTTTCCTTTTCTTCCAGACGGAGTCTCGCCCTGTCGCCCAGGCTGGAGTGCAGTGGCGCCATCTCGGCTCACTGCAAGCTCCGCCTCCCGGGTTCACGCCATTCCCCGGCCTCAGCCTCCCGAGTAGCTGGGCCTACAGGCGCCCGCCACCACGCCCGGCTACTTTGTTCTATTTTTCCTAGAGACGGGCTTTCACCCTGTTAGCCGGGATGGTCTGGAGCTCCTGACCTCGTGATCCACCCGCCTCGGCCTCCCAGAGTGCTGGGATTACAGGCGCGAGCCACCGCGCCCGCCCGGCCTGCTGTAGGCTTTTGTGGCTTCCCCGCTGCCTCCCTTCCCCCCACAGTCGCCATGCTTCCCAACCTCCCCTGACTCTGCTCCCCTTTACCGCCCACCTACACCCCGCCGCAGCCGCAGCCGGGGTCCTCCTGCTGGGGGTCCGCCCCTACTGCACGCCGGCCGGGCAGCAGCATCCCACCGCTTCCGCCTCGCCGCCGCCCCGCCAGGAGCCCGGCTCCAGCCTGGGAGGGCAGGGGGCCGGACCCCAAAGGCGCAGCCGCTGGGTTCCCTGCCGTTCGCGGTGCCTTCCCGCTCCCGGAACGCCCAGGCGATTCAATTCACCCATCGGGCGCCGTCGTCGCACCCTTCCAAACCGGGGGAAGGGGCGGGCAGGGGCAGCGGGTGCCACAGACGCCAGCCAAGACGTCGGCTCCGGAACGCATGGGCTGCTTTACCCGGGGGAAGGACATTGCTTCGCCAGCCACCGGGAAAACAGGCCCTGTGCACCCGGGATTCCCAATGCCCCCCGCTTCGTGTCGACGACTCCAGTCCCGAGGACTCGCCAGAGACCCAGGCCTCCGGGCCCGCCCGGTGCCACGGCTCCCGCCAAACGGGCGGGCGCGCTCTGCAAATCTCGGGGCCCGCCGCAAGGCACCCAGAGCACAGGGAGGTGCCAAGAAAGGCAGGAGCCTACGAAACCCACCTCCAAAGCAAGCAATTCATCCAAGAAAACGCCCGCCTCAGCGCTCCGTTGGTCCTCTCGCACGGACCGCCTGGCCCCCGTGTTCTGGGCGCAGCCCAAGCCCCCTCCACCCTATCCCGGCCTGCTCAAGAGGGCGCTGCCTAACGGAGCCGGGCGCTTCCTCTCTAAGGCTCTATCGCTCTCGCTCTCTAGCTCCCTCCGCCTCTCTCTTCTGGGTTTCCCCCTGGACCTCGCGCTACTTCTGTCGTTTTCCCTCTGTCTCTCTGTCTCTCTCTCTCTCTTTCTCTGTGCCTCTCTCTTTCTCAGCCTCTCTGTCTGTCTCCTTCCCTCTCGCCCTCCCCTGTCTCTCTCGATCGCTGTCTCTCTCCCTCCCTCGGTTTCTATCTCTCCATCCATCTCGTCCTTGCTCTCCTTCAAGCCGCGTGTGTGTGTGCGTGCGTGTGCGCGTGCGTGTGTGCGTGTGTGTCTGTGTGTGTGTGTGTGTGCGTGTGTGTCCGCGCGCGCGCGTGCGAGCGCGCCCGGGTGTGTCTGTGTGTGGGGGAGTGGATTTGCTCCTGGTGGCGGTGGGGTGTGTCTGGGTTTCTCTCAGGCCCTCTCACCCGAGATCAGGCCGCCGCCTCTAGTGCCAGCCCGGGGCAAAACAGGGCCACCCCCCGACCCGCTACACCCCACGCCCTCTTGCCCCCCCGGCCGGGTCTTGGTCGGGACAAGCGACCGTGGTGGGGGCGTTGTGAGAGAAAGGCCCCGCGCGGCTGGGCCGGCTGTTCGCCTTCGGCCAGCCCTGACGGCTCTGGGTGGGTGGGGCAAGAGGGGGCCTCGCAGGAGCCCCTGTGCGGCGAGGGATCCAAAACGCTGCCTCCGCGACAGGGCGGAGGACCGGAGGGCGTCCCAGGATCGTGGGCCCTGGGCCCTGACGCCTCGGAGCACTCCCTGCTCCGAGCGGGCCCGATGTGGTGGAAGCTCGGGAGCGCGGGAGCCGGGGGAAGGCCGCGGGCCAGCGGCTCGGGGGTCCCCGATCCGAGCCCCGCGGCCCCGGGCTGGCGGTGTCGGCTGCAATCCGGCGGGCACGGCCGGGCCGGGCTGGGCTCTTGGGGCAGCCAGGCGCCTCCTTCAGCGTCTACGGCCATACCACCCTGAACGCGCCCGATCTCGTCTGATCTCGGAAGCTAAGCAGGGTCGGGCCTGGTTAGTACTTGGATGGGAGACCGCCTGGGAATACCGGGTGCTGTAGGCTTTTTCTTTGGCTTTTTGCTGTTTCTTTCCTTTTCTTCCAGACGGAGTCTCGCCCTGTCGCCCAGGCTGGAGTGCAGTGGCGCCATCTCGGCTCACTGCAAGCTCCGCCTCCCGGGTTCACGCCATTCCCCGGCCTCAGCCTCCCGAGTAGCTGGGCCTACAGGCGCCCGCCACCACGCCCGGCTACTTTGTTCTATTTTTCCTAGAGACGGGCTTTCACCCTGTTAGCCGGGATGGTCTGGAGCTCCTGACCTCGTGATCCACCCGCCTCGGCCTCCCAGAGTGCTGGGATTACAGGCGCGAGCCACCGCGCCCGCCCGGCCTGCTGTAGGCTTTTGTGGCTTCCCCGCTGCCTCCCTTCCCCCCACAGTCGCCATGCTTCCCAACCTCCCCTGACTCTGCTCCCCCTTTACCGCCCACCTACACCCCCGCCGCAGCCGCAGCCGGGGTCCTCCTGCTGGGGGTCCGCCCCTACTGCACGCCGGCCGGGCAGCAGCATCCCACCGCTTCCGCCTCGCCGCCGCCCCGCCAGGAGCCCGGCTCCAGCCTGGGAGGGCAGGGGGCCGGACCCCAAAGGCGCAGCCGCTGGGTTCCCTGCCGTTCGCGGTGCCTTCCCGCTCCCGGAACGCCCAGGCGATTCAATTCACCCATCGGGCGCCGTCGTCGCACCCTTCCAAACCGGGGGAAGGGGCGGGCAGGGGCAGCGGGTGCCACAGACGCCAGCCAAGACGTCGGCTCCGGAACGCATGGGCTGCTTTACCCGGGGGAAGGACATTGCTTCGCCAGCCACCGGGAAAACAGGCCCTGTGCACCCGGGATTCCCAATGCCCCCCGCTTCGTGTCGACGACTCCAGTCCCGAGGACTCGCCAGAGACCCAGGCCTCCGGGCCCGCCCGGTGCCACGGCTCCCGCCAAACGGGCGGGCGCGCTCTGCAAATCTCGGGGCCCGCCGCAAGGCACCCAGAGCACAGGGAGGTGCCAAGAAAGGCAGGAGCCTACGAAACCCACCTCCAAAGCAAGCAATTCATCCAAGAAAACGCCCGCCTCAGCGCTCCGTTGGTCCTCTCGCACGGACCGCCTGGCCCCCGTGTTCTGGGCGCAGCCCAAGCCCCCTCCACCCTATCCCGGCCTGCTCAAGAGGGCGCTGCCTAACGGAGCCGGGCGCTTCCTCTCTAAGGCTCTATCGCTCTCGCTCTCTAGCTCCCTCCGCCTCTCTCTTCTGGGTTTCCCCCTGGACCTCGCGCTACTTCTGTCGTTTTCCCTCTGTCTCTCTGTCTCTCTCTCTCTCTTTCTCTGTGCCTCTCTCTTTCTCAGCCTCTCTGTCTGTCTCCTTCCCTCTCGCCCTCCCCTGTCTCTCTCGATCGCTGTCTCTCTCCCTCCCTCGGTTTCTATCTCTCCATCCATCTCGTCCTTGCTCTCCTTCAAGCCGCGTGTGTGTGTGCGTGCGTGTGCGCGTGCGTGTGTGCGTGTGTGTCTGTGTGTGTGTGTGTGTGCGTGTGTGTCCGCGCGCGCGCGTGCGAGCGCGCCCGGGTGTGTCTGTGTGTGGGGGAGTGGATTTGCTCCTGGTGGCGGTGGGGTGTGTCTGGGTTTCTCTCAGGCCCTCTCACCCGAGATCAGGCCGCCGCCTCTAGTGCCAGCCCGGGGCAAAACAGGGCCACCCCCCGACCCGCTACACCCCACGCCCTCTTGCCCCCCCGGCCGGGTCTTGGTCGGGACAAGCGACCGTGGTGGGGGCGTTGTGAGAGAAAGGCCCCGCGCGGCTGGGCCGGCTGTTCGCCTTCGGCCAGCCCTGACGGCTCTGGGTGGGTGGGGCAAGAGGGGGCCTCGCAGGAGCCCCTGTGCGGCGAGGGATCCAAAACGCTGCCTCCGCGACAGGGCGGAGGACCGGAGGGCGTCCCAGGATCGTGGGCCCTGGGCCCTGACGCCTCGGAGCACTCCCTGCTCCGAGCGGGCCCGATGTGGTGGAAGCTCGGGAGCGCGGGAGCCGGGGGAAGGCCGCGGGCCAGCGGCTCGGGGGTCCCCGATCCGAGCCCCGCGGCCCCGGGCTGGCGGTGTCGGCTGCAATCCGGCGGGCACGGCCGGGCCGGGCTGGGCTCTTGGGGCAGCCAGGCGCCTCCTTCAGCGTCTACGGCCATACCACCCTGAACGCGCCCGATCTCGTCTGATCTCGGAAGCTAAGCAGGGTCGGGCCTGGTTAGTACTTGGATGGGAGACCGCCTGGGAATACCGGGTGCTGTAGGCTTTTTCTTTGGCTTTTTGCTGTTTCTTTCCTTTTCTTCCAGACGGAGTCTCGCCCTGTCGCCCAGGCTGGAGTGCAGTGGCGCCATCTCGGCTCACTGCAAGCTCCGCCTCCCGGGTTCACGCCATTCCCCGGCCTCAGCCTCCCGAGTAGCTGGGCCTACAGGCGCCCGCCACCACGCCCGGCTACTTTGTTCTATTTTTCCTAGAGACGGGCTTTCACCCTGTTAGCCGGGATGGTCTGGAGCTCCTGACCTCGTGATCCACCCGCCTCGGCCTCCCAGAGTGCTGGGATTACAGGCGCGAGCCACCGCGCCCGCCCGGCCTGCTGTAGGCTTTTGTGGCTTCCCCGCTGCCTCCCTTCCCCCCACAGTCGCCATGCTTCCCAACCTCCCCTGACTCTGCTCCCCCTTTACCGCCCACCTACACCCCCGCCGCAGCCGCAGCCGGGGTCCTCCTGCTGGGGGTCCGCCCCTACTGCACGCCGGCCGGGCAGCAGCATCCCACCGCTTCCGCCTCGCCGCCGCCCCGCCAGGAGCCCGGCTCCAGCCTGGGAGGGCAGGGGGCCGGACCCCAAAGGCGCAGCCGCTGGGTTCCCTGCCGTTCGCGGTGCCTTCCCGCTCCCGGAACGCCCAGGCGATTCAATTCACCCATCGGGCGCCGTCGTCGCACCCTTCCAAACCGGGGGAAGGGGCGGGCAGGGGCAGCGGGTGCCACAGACGCCAGCCAAGACGTCGGCTCCGGAACGCATGGGCTGCTTTACCCGGGGGAAGGACATTGCTTCGCCAGCCACCGGGAAAACAGGCCCTGTGCACCCGGGATTCCCAATGCCCCCCGCTTCGTGTCGACGACTCCAGTCCCGAGGACTCGCCAGAGACCCAGGCCTCCGGGCCCGCCCGGTGCCACGGCTCCCGCCAAACGGGCGGGCGCGCTCTGCAAATCTCGGGGCCCGCCGCAAGGCACCCAGAGCACAGGGAGGTGCCAAGAAAGGCAGGAGCCTACGAAACCCACCTCCAAAGCAAGCAATTCATCCAAGAAAACGCCCGCCTCAGCGCTCCGTTGGTCCTCTCGCACGGACCGCCTGGCCCCCGTGTTCTGGGCGCAGCCCAAGCCCCCTCCACCCTATCCCGGCCTGCTCAAGAGGGCGCTGCCTAACGGAGCCGGGCGCTTCCTCTCTAAGGCTCTATCGCTCTCGCTCTCTAGCTCCCTCCGCCTCTCTCTTCTGGGTTTCCCCCTGGACCTCGCGCTACTTCTGTCGTTTTCCCTCTGTCTCTCTGTCTCTCTCTCTCTCTTTCTCTGTGCCTCTCTCTTTCTCAGCCTCTCTGTCTGTCTCCTTCCCTCTCGCCCTCCCCTGTCTCTCTCGATCGCTGTCTCTCTCCCTCCCTCGGTTTCTATCTCTCCATCCATCTCGTCCTTGCTCTCCTTCAAGCCGCGTGTGTGTGTGCGTGCGTGTGCGCGTGCGTGTGTGCGTGTGTGTCTGTGTGTGTGTGTGTGTGCGTGTGTGTCCGCGCGCGCGCGTGCGAGCGCGCCCGGGTGTGTCTGTGTGTGGGGGAGTGGATTTGCTCCTGGTGGCGGTGGGGTGTGTCTGGGTTTCTCTCAGGCCCTCTCACCCGAGATCAGGCCGCCGCCTCTAGTGCCAGCCCGGGGCAAAACAGGGCCACCCCCCGACCCGCTACACCCCACGCCCTCTTGCCCCCCCGGCCGGGTCTTGGTCGGGACAAGCGACCGTGGTGGGGGCGTTGTGAGAGAAAGGCCCCGCGCGGCTGGGCCGGCTGTTCGCCTTCGGCCAGCCCTGACGGCTCTGGGTGGGTGGGGCAAGAGGGGGCCTCGCAGGAGCCCCTGTGCGGCGAGGGATCCAAAACGCTGCCTCCGCGACAGGGCGGAGGACCGGAGGGCGTCCCAGGATCGTGGGCCCTGGGCCCTGACGCCTCGGAGCACTCCCTGCTCCGAGCGGGCCCGATGTGGTGGAAGCTCGGGAGCGCGGGAGCCGGGGGAAGGCCGCGGGCCAGCGGCTCGGGGGTCCCCGATCCGAGCCCCGCGGCCCCGGGCTGGCGGTGTCGGCTGCAATCCGGCGGGCACGGCCGGGCCGGGCTGGGCTCTTGGGGCAGCCAGGCGCCTCCTTCAGCGTCTACGGCCATACCACCCTGAACGCGCCCGATCTCGTCTGATCTCGGAAGCTAAGCAGGGTCGGGCCTGGTTAGTACTTGGATGGGAGACCGCCTGGGAATACCGGGTGCTGTAGGCTTTTTCTTTGGCTTTTTGCTGTTTCTTTCCTTTTCTTCCAGACGGAGTCTCGCCCTGTCGCCCAGGCTGGAGTGCAGTGGCGCCATCTCGGCTCACTGCAAGCTCCGCCTCCCGGGTTCACGCCATTCCCCGGCCTCAGCCTCCCGAGTAGCTGGGCCTACAGGCGCCCGCCACCACGCCCGGCTACTTTGTTCTATTTTTCCTAGAGACGGGCTTTCACCCTGTTAGCCGGGATGGTCTGGAGCTCCTGACCTCGTGATCCACCCGCCTCGGCCTCCCAGAGTGCTGGGATTACAGGCGCGAGCCACCGCGCCCGCCCGGCCTGCTGTAGGCTTTTGTGGCTTCCCCGCTGCCTCCCTTCCCCCCACAGTCGCCATGCTTCCCAACCTCCCCTGACTCTGCTCCCCCTTTACCGCCCACCTACACCCCCGCCGCAGCCGCAGCCGGGGTCCTCCTGCTGGGGGTCCGCCCCTACTGCACGCCGGCCGGGCAGCAGCATCCCACCGCTTCCGCCTCGCCGCCGCCCCGCCAGGAGCCCGGCTCCAGCCTGGGAGGGCAGGGGGCCGGACCCCAAAGGCGCAGCCGCTGGGTTCCCTGCCGTTCGCGGTGCCTTCCCGCTCCCGGAACGCCCAGGCGATTCAATTCACCCATCGGGCGCCGTCGTCGCACCCTTCCAAACCGGGGGAAGGGGCGGGCAGGGGCAGCGGGTGCCACAGACGCCAGCCAAGACGTCGGCTCCGGAACGCATGGGCTGCTTTACCCGGGGGAAGGACATTGCTTCGCCAGCCACCGGGAAAACAGGCCCTGTGCACCCGGGATTCCCAATGCCCCCCGCTTCGTGTCGACGACTCCAGTCCCGAGGACTCGCCAGAGACCCAGGCCTCCGGGCCCGCCCGGTGCCACGGCTCCCGCCAAACGGGCGGGCGCGCTCTGCAAATCTCGGGGCCCGCCGCAAGGCACCCAGAGCACAGGGAGGTGCCAAGAAAGGCAGGAGCCTACGAAACCCACCTCCAAAGCAAGCAATTCATCCAAGAAAACGCCCGCCTCAGCGCTCCGTTGGTCCTCTCGCACGGACCGCCTGGCCCCCGTGTTCTGGGCGCAGCCCAAGCCCCCTCCACCCTATCCCGGCCTGCTCAAGAGGGCGCTGCCTAACGGAGCCGGGCGCTTCCTCTCTAAGGCTCTATCGCTCTCGCTCTCTAGCTCCCTCCGCCTCTCTCTTCTGGGTTTCCCCCTGGACCTCGCGCTACTTCTGTCGTTTTCCCTCTGTCTCTCTGTCTCTCTCTCTCTCTTTCTCTGTGCCTCTCTCTTTCTCAGCCTCTCTGTCTGTCTCCTTCCCTCTCGCCCTCCCCTGTCTCTCTCGATCGCTGTCTCTCTCCCTCCCTCGGTTTCTATCTCTCCATCCATCTCGTCCTTGCTCTCCTTCAAGCCGCGTGTGTGTGTGCGTGCGTGTGCGCGTGCGTGTGTGCGTGTGTGTCTGTGTGTGTGTGTGTGTGCGTGTGTGTCCGCGCGCGCGCGTGCGAGCGCGCCCGGGTGTGTCTGTGTGTGGGGGAGTGGATTTGCTCCTGGTGGCGGTGGGGTGTGTCTGGGTTTCTCTCAGGCCCTCTCACCCGAGATCAGGCCGCCGCCTCTAGTGCCAGCCCGGGGCAAAACAGGGCCACCCCCCGACCCGCTACACCCCACGCCCTCTTGCCCCCCCGGCCGGGTCTTGGTCGGGACAAGCGACCGTGGTGGGGGCGTTGTGAGAGAAAGGCCCCGCGCGGCTGGGCCGGCTGTTCGCCTTCGGCCAGCCCTGACGGCTCTGGGTGGGTGGGGCAAGAGGGGGCCTCGCAGGAGCCCCTGTGCGGCGAGGGATCCAAAACGCTGCCTCCGCGACAGGGCGGAGGACCGGAGGGCGTCCCAGGATCGTGGGCCCTGGGCCCTGACGCCTCGGAGCACTCCCTGCTCCGAGCGGGCCCGATGTGGTGGAAGCTCGGGAGCGCGGGAGCCGGGGGAAGGCCGCGGGCCAGCGGCTCGGGGGTCCCCGATCCGAGCCCCGCGGCCCCGGGCTGGCGGTGTCGGCTGCAATCCGGCGGGCACGGCCGGGCCGGGCTGGGCTCTTGGGGCAGCCAGGCGCCTCCTTCAGCGTCTACGGCCATACCACCCTGAACGCGCCCGATCTCGTCTGATCTCGGAAGCTAAGCAGGGTCGGGCCTGGTTAGTACTTGGATGGGAGACCGCCTGGGAATACCGGGTGCTGTAGGCTTTTTCTTTGGCTTTTTGCTGTTTCTTTCCTTTTCTTCCAGACGGAGTCTCGCCCTGTCGCCCAGGCTGGAGTGCAGTGGCGCCATCTCGGCTCACTGCAAGCTCCGCCTCCCGGGTTCACGCCATTCCCCGGCCTCAGCCTCCCGAGTAGCTGGGCCTACAGGCGCCCGCCACCACGCCCGGCTACTTTGTTCTATTTTTCCTAGAGACGGGCTTTCACCCTGTTAGCCGGGATGGTCTGGAGCTCCTGACCTCGTGATCCACCCGCCTCGGCCTCCCAGAGTGCTGGGATTACAGGCGCGAGCCACCGCGCCCGCCCGGCCTGCTGTAGGCTTTTGTGGCTTCCCCGCTGCCTCCCTTCCCCCCACAGTCGCCATGCTTCCCAACCTCCCCTGACTCTGCTCCCCCTTTACCGCCCACCTACACCCCCGCCGCAGCCGCAGCCGGGGTCCTCCTGCTGGGGGTCCGCCCCTACTGCACGCCGGCCGGGCAGCAGCATCCCACCGCTTCCGCCTCGCCGCCGCCCCGCCAGGAGCCCGGCTCCAGCCTGGGAGGGCAGGGGGCCGGACCCCAAAGGCGCAGCCGCTGGGTTCCCTGCCGTTCGCGGTGCCTTCCCGCTCCCGGAACGCCCAGGCGATTCAATTCACCCATCGGGCGCCGTCGTCGCACCCTTCCAAACCGGGGGAAGGGGCGGGCAGGGGCAGCGGGTGCCACAGACGCCAGCCAAGACGTCGGCTCCGGAACGCATGGGCTGCTTTACCCGGGGGAAGGACATTGCTTCGCCAGCCACCGGGAAAACAGGCCCTGTGCACCCGGGATTCCCAATGCCCCCCGCTTCGTGTCGACGACTCCAGTCCCGAGGACTCGCCAGAGACCCAGGCCTCCGGGCCCGCCCGGTGCCACGGCTCCCGCCAAACGGGCGGGCGCGCTCTGCAAATCTCGGGGCCCGCCGCAAGGCACCCAGAGCACAGGGAGGTGCCAAGAAAGGCAGGAGCCTACGAAACCCACCTCCAAAGCAAGCAATTCATCCAAGAAAACGCCCGCCTCAGCGCTCCGTTGGTCCTCTCGCACGGACCGCCTGGCCCCCGTGTTCTGGGCGCAGCCCAAGCCCCCTCCACCCTATCCCGGCCTGCTCAAGAGGGCGCTGCCTAACGGAGCCGGGCGCTTCCTCTCTAAGGCTCTATCGCTCTCGCTCTCTAGCTCCCTCCGCCTCTCTCTTCTGGGTTTCCCCCTGGACCTCGCGCTACTTCTGTCGTTTTCCCTCTGTCTCTCTGTCTCTCTCTCTCTCTTTCTCTGTGCCTCTCTCTTTCTCAGCCTCTCTGTCTGTCTCCTTCCCTCTCGCCCTCCCCTGTCTCTCTCGATCGCTGTCTCTCTCCCTCCCTCGGTTTCTATCTCTCCATCCATCTCGTCCTTGCTCTCCTTCAAGCCGCGTGTGTGTGTGCGTGCGTGTGCGCGTGCGTGTGTGCGTGTGTGTCTGTGTGTGTGTGTGTGTGTGCGTGTGTGTCCGCGCGCGCGCGTGCGAGCGCGCCCGGGTGTGTCTGTGTGTGGGGGAGTGGATTTGCTCCTGGTGGCGGTGGGGTGTGTCTGGGTTTCTCTCAGGCCCTCTCACCCGAGATCAGGCCGCCGCCTCTAGTGCCAGCCCGGGGCAAAACAGGGCCACCCCCCGACCCGCTACACCCCACGCCCTCTTGCCCCCCCGGCCGGGTCTTGGTCGGGACAAGCGACCGTGGTGGGGGCGTTGTGAGAGAAAGGCCCCGCGCGGCTGGGCCGGCTGTTCGCCTTCGGCCAGCCCTGACGGCTCTGGGTGGGTGGGGCAAGAGGGGGCCTCGCAGGAGCCCCTGTGCGGCGAGGGATCCAAAACGCTGCCTCCGCGACAGGGCGGAGGACCGGAGGGCGTCCCAGGATCGTGGGCCCTGGGCCCTGACGCCTCGGAGCACTCCCTGCTCCGAGCGGGCCCGATGTGGTGGAAGCTCGGGAGCGCGGGAGCCGGGGGAAGGCCGCGGGCCAGCGGCTCGGGGGTCCCCGATCCGAGCCCCGCGGCCCCGGGCTGGCGGTGTCGGCTGCAATCCGGCGGGCACGGCCGGGCCGGGCTGGGCTCTTGGGGCAGCCAGGCGCCTCCTTCAGCGTCTACGGCCATACCACCCTGAACGCGCCCGATCTCGTCTGATCTCGGAAGCTAAGCAGGGTCGGGCCTGGTTAGTACTTGGATGGGAGACCGCCTGGGAATACCGGGTGCTGTAGGCTTTTTCTTTGGCTTTTTGCTGTTTCTTTCCTTTTCTTCCAGACGGAGTCTCGCCCTGTCGCCCAGGCTGGAGTGCAGTGGCGCCATCTCGGCTCACTGCAAGCTCCGCCTCCCGGGTTCACGCCATTCCCCGGCCTCAGCCTCCCGAGTAGCTGGGCCTACAGGCGCCCGCCACCACGCCCGGCTACTTTGTTCTATTTTTCCTAGAGACGGGCTTTCACCCTGTTAGCCGGGATGGTCTGGAGCTCCTGACCTCGTGATCCACCCGCCTCGGCCTCCCAGAGTGCTGGGATTACAGGCGCGAGCCACCGCGCCCGCCCGGCCTGCTGTAGGCTTTTGTGGCTTCCCCGCTGCCTCCCTTCCCCCCACAGTCGCCATGCTTCCCAACCTCCCCTGACTCTGCTCCCCCTTTACCGCCCACCTACACCCCCGCCGCAGCCGCAGCCGGGGTCCTCCTGCTGGGGGTCCGCCCTACTGCACGCCGGCCGGGCAGCAGCATCCCACCGCTTCCGCCTCGCCGCCGCCCCGCCAGGAGCCCGGCTCCAGCCTGGGAGGGCAGGGGGCCGGACCCCAAAGGCGCAGCCGCTGGGTTCCCTGCCGTTCGCGGTGCCTTCCCGCTCCCGGAACGCCCAGGCGATTCAATTCACCCATCGGGCGCCGTCGTCGCACCCTTCCAAACCGGGGGAAGGGGCGGGCAGGGGCAGCGGGTGCCACAGACGCCAGCCAAGACGTCGGCTCCGGAACGCATGGGCTGCTTTACCCGGGGGAAGGACATTGCTTCGCCAGCCACCGGGAAAACAGGCCCTGTGCACCCGGGATTCCCAATGCCCCCCGCTTCGTGTCGACGACTCCAGTCCCGAGGACTCGCCAGAGACCCAGGCCTCCGGGCCCGCCCGGTGCCACGGCTCCCGCCAAACGGGCGGGCGCGCTCTGCAAATCTCGGGGCCCGCCGCAAGGCACCCAGAGCACAGGGAGGTGCCAAGAAAGGCAGGAGCCTACGAAACCCACCTCCAAAGCAAGCAATTCATCCAAGAAAACGCCCGCCTCAGCGCTCCGTTGGTCCTCTCGCACGGACCGCCTGGCCCCCGTGTTCTGGGCGCAGCCCAAGCCCCCTCCACCCTATCCCGGCCTGCTCAAGAGGGCGCTGCCTAACGGAGCCGGGCGCTTCCTCTCTAAGGCTCTATCGCTCTCGCTCTCTAGCTCCCTCCGCCTCTCTCTTCTGGGTTTCCCCCTGGACCTCGCGCTACTTCTGTCGTTTTCCCTCTGTCTCTCTGTCTCTCTCTCTCTCTTTCTCTGTGCCTCTCTCTTTCTCAGCCTCTCTGTCTGTCTCCTTCCCTCTCGCCCTCCCCTGTCTCTCTCGATCGCTGTCTCTCTCCCTCCCTCGGTTTCTATCTCTCCATCCATCTCGTCCTTGCTCTCCTTCAAGCCGCGTGTGTGTGTGCGTGCGTGTGCGCGTGCGTGTGTGCGTGTGTGTCTGTGTGTGTGTGTGTGCGTGTGTGTCCGCGCGCGCGCGTGCGAGCGCGCCCGGGTGTGTCTGTGTGTGGGGGAGTGGATTTGCTCCTGGTGGCGGTGGGGTGTGTCTGGGTTTCTCTCAGGCCCTCTCACCCGAGATCAGGCCGCCGCCTCTAGTGCCAGCCCGGGGCAAAACAGGGCCACCCCCCGACCCGCTACACCCCACGCCCTCTTGCCCCCCCGGCCGGGTCTTGGTCGGGACAAGCGACCGTGGTGGGGGCGTTGTGAGAGAAAGGCCCCGCGCGGCTGGGCCGGCTGTTCGCCTTCGGCCAGCCCTGACGGCTCTGGGTGGGTGGGGCAAGAGGGGGCCTCGCAGGAGCCCCTGTGCGGCGAGGGATCCAAAACGCTGCCTCCGCGACAGGGCGGAGGACCGGAGGGCGTCCCAGGATCGTGGGCCCTGGGCCCTGACGCCTCGGAGCACTCCCTGCTCCGAGCGGGCCCGATGTGGTGGAAGCTCGGGAGCGCGGGAGCCGGGGGAAGGCCGCGGGCCAGCGGCTCGGGGGTCCCCGATCCGAGCCCCGCGGCCCCGGGCTGGCGGTGTCGGCTGCAATCCGGCGGGCACGGCCGGGCCGGGCTGGGCTCTTGGGGCAGCCAGGCGCCTCCTTCAGCGTCTACGGCCATACCACCCTGAACGCGCCCGATCTCGTCTGATCTCGGAAGCTAAGCAGGGTCGGGCCTGGTTAGTACTTGGATGGGAGACCGCCTGGGAATACCGGGTGCTGTAGGCTTTTTCTTTGGCTTTTTGCTGTTTCTTTCCTTTTCTTCCAGACGGAGTCTCGCCCTGTCGCCCAGGCTGGAGTGCAGTGGCGCCATCTCGGCTCACTGCAAGCTCCGCCTCCCGGGTTCACGCCATTCCCCGGCCTCAGCCTCCCGAGTAGCTGGGCCTACAGGCGCCCGCCACCACGCCCGGCTACTTTGTTCTATTTTTCCTAGAGACGGGCTTTCACCCTGTTAGCCGGGATGGTCTGGAGCTCCTGACCTCGTGATCCACCCGCCTCGGCCTCCCAGAGTGCTGGGATTACAGGCGCGAGCCACCGCGCCCGCCCGGCCTGCTGTAGGCTTTTGTGGCTTCCCCGCTGCCTCCCTTCCCCCCACAGTCGCCATGCTTCCCAACCTCCCCTGACTCTGCTCCCCTTTACCGCCCACCTACACCCCCGCCGCAGCCGCAGCCGGGGTCCTCCTGCTGGGGGTCCGCCCCTACTGCACGCCGGCCGGGCAGCAGCATCCCACCGCTTCCGCCTCGCCGCCGCCCCGCCAGGAGCCCGGCTCCAGCCTGGGAGGGCAGGGGGCCGGACCCCAAAGGCGCAGCCGCTGGGTTCCCTGCCGTTCGCGGTGCCTTCCCGCTCCCGGAACGCCCAGGCGATTCAATTCACCCATCGGGCGCCGTCGTCGCACCCTTCCAAACCGGGGGAAGGGGCGGGCAGGGGCAGCGGGTGCCACAGACGCCAGCCAAGACGTCGGCTCCGGAACGCATGGGCTGCTTTACCCGGGGGAAGGACATTGCTTCGCCAGCCACCGGGAAAACAGGCCCTGTGCACCCGGGATTCCCAATGCCCCCCGCTTCGTGTCGACGACTCCAGTCCCGAGGACTCGCCAGAGACCCAGGCCTCCGGGCCCGCCCGGTGCCACGGCTCCCGCCAAACGGGCGGGCGCGCTCTGCAAATCTCGGGGCCCGCCGCAAGGCACCCAGAGCACAGGGAGGTGCCAAGAAAGGCAGGAGCCTACGAAACCCACCTCCAAAGCAAGCAATTCATCCAAGAAAACGCCCGCCTCAGCGCTCCGTTGGTCCTCTCGCACGGACCGCCTGGCCCCCGTGTTCTGGGCGCAGCCCAAGCCCCCTCCACCCTATCCCGGCCTGCTCAAGAGGGCGCTGCCTAACGGAGCCGGGCGCTTCCTCTCTAAGGCTCTATCGCTCTCGCTCTCTAGCTCCCTCCGCCTCTCTCTTCTGGGTTTCCCCCTGGACCTCGCGCTACTTCTGTCGTTTTCCCTCTGTCTCTCTGTCTCTCTCTCTCTCTTTCTCTGTGCCTCTCTCTTTCTCAGCCTCTCTGTCTGTCTCCTTCCCTCTCGCCCTCCCCTGTCTCTCTCGATCGCTGTCTCTCTCCCTCCCTCGGTTTCTATCTCTCCATCCATCTCGTCCTTGCTCTCCTTCAAGCCGCGTGTGTGTGTGCGTGCGTGTGCGCGTGCGTGTGTGCGTGTGTGTCTGTGTGTGTGTGTGTGTGCGTGTGTGTCCGCGCGCGCGCGTGCGAGCGCGCCCGGGTGTGTCTGTGTGTGGGGGAGTGGATTTGCTCCTGGTGGCGGTGGGGTGTGTCTGGGTTTCTCTCAGGCCCTCTCACCCGAGATCAGGCCGCCGCCTCTAGTGCCAGCCCGGGGCAAAACAGGGCCACCCCCCGACCCGCTACACCCCACGCCCTCTTGCCCCCCCGGCCGGGTCTTGGTCGGGACAAGCGACCGTGGTGGGGGCGTTGTGAGAGAAAGGCCCCGCGCGGCTGGGCCGGCTGTTCGCCTTCGGCCAGCCCTGACGGCTCTGGGTGGGTGGGGCAAGAGGGGGCCTCGCAGGAGCCCCTGTGCGGCGAGGGATCCAAAACGCTGCCTCCGCGACAGGGCGGAGGACCGGAGGGCGTCCCAGGATCGTGGGCCCTGGGCCCTGACGCCTCGGAGCACTCCCTGCTCCGAGCGGGCCCGATGTGGTGGAAGCTCGGGAGCGCGGGAGCCGGGGGAAGGCCGCGGGCCAGCGGCTCGGGGGTCCCCGATCCGAGCCCCGCGGCCCCGGGCTGGCGGTGTCGGCTGCAATCCGGCGGGCACGGCCGGGCCGGGCTGGGCTCTTGGGGCAGCCAGGCGCCTCCTTCAGCGTCTACGGCCATACCACCCTGAACGCGCCCGATCTCGTCTGATCTCGGAAGCTAAGCAGGGTCGGGCCTGGTTAGTACTTGGATGGGAGACCGCCTGGGAATACCGGGTGCTGTAGGCTTTTTCTTTGGCTTTTTGCTGTTTCTTTCCTTTTCTTCCAGACGGAGTCTCGCCCTGTCGCCCAGGCTGGAGTGCAGTGGCGCCATCTCGGCTCACTGCAAGCTCCGCCTCCCGGGTTCACGCCATTCCCCGGCCTCAGCCTCCCGAGTAGCTGGGCCTACAGGCGCCCGCCACCACGCCCGGCTACTTTGTTCTATTTTTCCTAGAGACGGGCTTTCACCCTGTTAGCCGGGATGGTCTGGAGCTCCTGACCTCGTGATCCACCCGCCTCGGCCTCCCAGAGTGCTGGGATTACAGGCGCGAGCCACCGCGCCCGCCCGGCCTGCTGTAGGCTTTTGTGGCTTCCCCGCTGCCTCCCTTCCCCCCACAGTCGCCATGCTTCCCAACCTCCCCTGACTCTGCTCCCCCTTTACCGCCCACCTACACCCCCGCCGCAGCCGCAGCCGGGGTCCTCCTGCTGGGGGTCCGCCCCTACTGCACGCCGGCCGGGCAGCAGCATCCCACCGCTTCCGCCTCGCCGCCGCCCCGCCAGGAGCCCGGCTCCAGCCTGGGAGGGCAGGGGGCCGGACCCCAAAGGCGCAGCCGCTGGGTTCCCTGCCGTTCGCGGTGCCTTCCCGCTCCCGGAACGCCCAGGCGATTCAATTCACCCATCGGGCGCCGTCGTCGCACCCTTCCAAACCGGGGGAAGGGGCGGGCAGGGGCAGCGGGTGCCACAGACGCCAGCCAAGACGTCGGCTCCGGAACGCATGGGCTGCTTTACCCGGGGGAAGGACATTGCTTCGCCAGCCACCGGGAAAACAGGCCCTGTGCACCCGGGATTCCCAATGCCCCCCGCTTCGTGTCGACGACTCCAGTCCCGAGGACTCGCCAGAGACCCAGGCCTCCGGGCCCGCCCGGTGCCACGGCTCCCGCCAAACGGGCGGGCGCGCTCTGCAAATCTCGGGGCCCGCCGCAAGGCACCCAGAGCACAGGGAGGTGCCAAGAAAGGCAGGAGCCTACGAAACCCACCTCCAAAGCAAGCAATTCATCCAAGAAAACGCCCGCCTCAGCGCTCCGTTGGTCCTCTCGCACGGACCGCCTGGCCCCCGTGTTCTGGGCGCAGCCCAAGCCCCCTCCACCCTATCCCGGCCTGCTCAAGAGGGCGCTGCCTAACGGAGCCGGGCGCTTCCTCTCTAAGGCTCTATCGCTCTCGCTCTCTAGCTCCCTCCGCCTCTCTCTTCTGGGTTTCCCCCTGGACCTCGCGCTACTTCTGTCGTTTTCCCTCTGTCTCTCTGTCTCTCTCTCTCTCTTTCTCTGTGCCTCTCTCTTTCTCAGCCTCTCTGTCTGTCTCCTTCCCTCTCGCCCTCCCCTGTCTCTCTCGATCGCTGTCTCTCTCCCTCCCTCGGTTTCTATCTCTCCATCCATCTCGTCCTTGCTCTCCTTCAAGCCGCGTGTGTGTGTGCGTGCGTGTGCGCGTGCGTGTGTGCGTGTGTGTCTGTGTGTGTGTGTGTGTGCGTGTGTGTCCGCGCGCGCGCGTGCGAGCGCGCCCGGGTGTGTCTGTGTGTGGGGGAGTGGATTTGCTCCTGGTGGCGGTGGGGTGTGTCTGGGTTTCTCTCAGGCCCTCTCACCCGAGATCAGGCCGCCGCCTCTAGTGCCAGCCCGGGGCAAAACAGGGCCACCCCCCGACCCGCTACACCCCACGCCCTCTTGCCCCCCCGGCCGGGTCTTGGTCGGGACAAGCGACCGTGGTGGGGGCGTTGTGAGAGAAAGGCCCCGCGCGGCTGGGCCGGCTGTTCGCCTTCGGCCAGCCCTGACGGCTCTGGGTGGGTGGGGCAAGAGGGGGCCTCGCAGGAGCCCCTGTGCGGCGAGGGATCCAAAACGCTGCCTCCGCGACAGGGCGGAGGACCGGAGGGCGTCCCAGGATCGTGGGCCCTGGGCCCTGACGCCTCGGAGCACTCCCTGCTCCGAGCGGGCCCGATGTGGTGGAAGCTCGGGAGCGCGGGAGCCGGGGGAAGGCCGCGGGCCAGCGGCTCGGGGGTCCCCGATCCGAGCCCCGCGGCCCCGGGCTGGCGGTGTCGGCTGCAATCCGGCGGGCACGGCCGGGCCGGGCTGGGCTCTTGGGGCAGCCAGGCGCCTCCTTCAGCGTCTACGGCCATACCACCCTGAACGCGCCCGATCTCGTCTGATCTCGGAAGCTAAGCAGGGTCGGGCCTGGTTAGTACTTGGATGGGAGACCGCCTGGGAATACCGGGTGCTGTAGGCTTTTTCTTTGGCTTTTTGCTGTTTCTTTCCTTTTCTTCCAGACGGAGTCTCGCCCTGTCGCCCAGGCTGGAGTGCAGTGGCGCCATCTCGGCTCACTGCAAGCTCCGCCTCCCGGGTTCACGCCATTCCCCGGCCTCAGCCTCCCGAGTA